>NC_000003.12:193705574-193856573 GCF_000001405.40 Homo sapiens | reverse complement strand
CCATATCTCAATACCTTCATGAAGGGAGTGTCTTCTGGCCCCTCCTGGGGACATAATTAGAAAGTGATAGGCAAGCAGGCCTCACATAATAAATCTACCCCAGCATTTTGGTCCCCCTAAGCATTTGGGTACCTTTCTCCATATCAAGAAAGTTCTAGTATTTCAATTGCCCTAGGTATAAGCCACCATTTTGTCTAGGTTTTAGTCAATGAACCAAACTGTTAGAATCACTCTAAGTTACTCAATGTAATACACTGAATCCAGAATCTCTTTCCAGTGTACCTGTATTGAAATCTTTGGCCTGGTCCAGCATTATCTTCCTCTTTCCCTGATTCAACATCATTAAGATCCATTTCTAAACATGTTTCTCAGGTTTCTGTGACTATGAATGGAAAAAGCTTATAATTCTTTTGATGTATATGACAGTTTCACATGGATCACACTTTAAACTTTAACCCCTGGAGCCTGCTGAAACTTGAGTCTAGTTATAGGTCTAGAAGCAATGAGAAGAATTGAGAGTAGGTAGGTCTTAAGGAGAATCAGTAGTTTCTTGCAAGGCACCTCTGGTCATTTGTTCTGGTCCAGGCTCGGTGAAAGGCCATTGCAGTTTCTTTAGGCAAGGTGAGCTCATTAGCTAGGAAGGGAGTGCTTCTACTACTGGCAAAAAAGGCTCAGCAAAATTCAAGTTCTAGCTCCCAGCTTCATCTGAATCTGCCCATATGTCTACCCCAATGCTCAGAACCACACTTCTTCCTAATCAATGTGCTAATTTTACCATAAGATACTCTGTGAGGTTGTGATTTCAGTTTGCATAATTCTTCCCAAAATTAGACCTTGGGTTTGATTTTCAGAAATATTTGCCCTATAGCCACAGGAACTAAAGATTTCCCTTAGTTAGTCTTTGTATTGGGAACTTAGTCATAATTTTTTTTTTCTCCAAGTTCTTCAGTAACCTAGAAGCTACCTATCAACATCTGTATCTTCCTTATTTTTGCTGAAATATTGTACAGAAGCAACTACTTGGTTATCCAAAGCCCTGCCTTCTATAGGCACTTAATTACAGGTATTTATAGGTGATAATGTAATTAACTCTTTTGTTACCACCAGGTCCCCTTTACTACTGGCATCAGAGTCATTAACGCTTTTAAATATAATCAGATCAGAGAGCCAACTCCAGAACCAATTCAGAGAACTCATCCTTTAGGTTTTCTTGCTCATGGTTTCATCAGGGAGGCAGAGTCACTCTTAGTGATATGAAATAATTTCCCATAGCAATTAGACTTCTCACAATAGTGGGAGAAGGATGCAGGAAGATAAGCTGGACCTGATACAGGAGAGATCAAGGGCAACCTGGAACCTTTCCCTGTCTTTCACCACAACTAACCCTATAGAAGAGGTATGTGCCCTTTACCATAGGGGTGCACACACACCTGAGCCAAAACTCAGCAGGAGCTGAGGGGAGCTGCAGAACTGGCCGCTGCTCCATGCTAAGGAGGTAAGCAAGTAGGTAAATGCTGGTGTCTGTTTGTGTTCATGAGCTGTGATGGCACCTGTAGCCCTGCACCAACCTTCAAGTGTTGTGATGGTTGGTCTGCTTTCCAAATCTCATGCCAATTTCTCTTATGGCCAACCATAACGAGGGCCATAGAAAGAAGGAAAAATCTGGGAAATGTCCTTTGGGCTTAGGTAGGCTGACTCAGTACGGAACCACCAGAGCCGTCACTGTTTGGTACTCTTACGTAAGGAACTCAAGATTTAACCTAAGAACCAGTACCTAGAGGGAGAGGGTAAGAGAGAGGGATGGATAGGATCCATGTAAAAATTGGGTTATGAATTCGCTTAAATTAAGACTGTATGTGAGATTGTACCCAAAAGATCAGGATCAAGAAAGCCAGAGGGGAGAGCCGGCTTTGCTCCAGAACATTTCTGTATTTGACAGTGATGATAGTAACCCACCATGGCATCACAGAGCTTTGTGGTTTGCAAAGTGCTCTCACATGCATCATTTCATTTGGAGTGGATTGACCTTCTGCTTCATTCACTAAATACTTATTGAGTATTTGTCCTATGCCAGGAACTGTGCTAGGCATTTTGCATATCCTGTCTCCAAATATATTAATATCTCCTTTATATTTCACTATATCTCTGTGACAGAGATATCACTGTCATTTTACAGATTTTAAAAGTATGGCTATAATGTTGGAGATACAAGACCCTAATGGGAATATAAGATAAATAGAACTTTGTCCTTGCTCTCAAGAACAGGGGTTGGTAAACTTTTTCTATAAAAGGACAAGTGACAAGTAGTTTAGGCTTTGTGGTTCCTATTACAACTACCCAACTCTGAAGCTGTAGAGAATGCAGTCATAGCCAATATAAAAATGAATGTGCATGGCTGTGTTCCAATAAAACTTTATTTACAAAAACAGGCAGTGGGATAGATTTTGCCCATGGGTAATAGTTTACCAACCCCTGAACTACAAGGGCATAGGCTAAAGGAGAGACTACTAATTAAAACAACTCATGATGAGACTATGTGGTAAAGGAGTCTATACGAAGGGCTGTGAAGGCAGAGGGTGTAGCTGGCTGGGGAATTTAGTGAGGCAGGGCAGCATTTCTAGAATCATGACCTCTGTGGTCCATATTTCCAGGTCACTGCCATCCATGAACCAGGAAATGGCTTGCAGACAAATGCAGGGTGGGATCTGGAGCTTATATCTTATCAGAACCTGTGTCTCCTTCCTGAGCTGTCTTCCTGTGAACTGGGCCTGTGGTGTGGGGGTTGAGGTTCACTGTCTGCTTTCCCCTCGTGTATCAGCCAGCCCTTATACTTCCTAAAACTCAGCGTCCCTTATCCTTATCCACAGCACAGAAGCTGTGGGCTTGGCCTGACACAGCCCTAGAATGATACTTCCTTGTATGCCAGCCTCAACTTCTTCTGACCTGCAGCTTGCAAACAACACATTCCTAGTATGTGGTTATTAGCCTACTCCTCCTAGAATGCCCTCTAGATCTGGTTCCTGCCTGAGGTATAAAATCATGCTTGTGGTTGAACTTACAGGTGGACTTTACAAGAAGGCTCAGGACAGGGAAGAACACTATAAAACAACAAAAACTGCCTCCAACTGGAAAGCAGTGTGTAGGGAGGGTTTGAGCAGTGACTAGATGACCATAGGAAGGAGAAGTTCTAATATTTAAAAAGTCCTTGGGCTTAGGAGTCTTTCTGTCCCACAGTCCTATTTAGCTTTGTGATAGCGGACAAATTTCTTGAGCTCTCTTGACTTAGTTTCATGATTTGAAAACAGAGAGTTCACATCTCTCATAGGGCTGTTGTGATAATTAAATGAGAATTCCATCCAGTTTCCAGCAGGCACTATCCTGGCACACAGTTGACTCAAGACAGTATTAGAGAAAGACTCTGACATCAGATGGGGTGGGGTGGCCAAGTTGGGCGAAATAACTGAGGTCTGTGGTTTACTTTGATATATAAATCTAACAAGAATTCCTTTCTTTAACTTACATAAAATTCTTTCATTAAATCTCAGAAACAAAGGGATGTAACCTAAGGAGATCTCTTTGTGAGCACCCTAAGATTGGACATAAATGAAGAAATATTTATTAACACAAAAGAATTTCATTTGGAGGAAAAAAAACCATTGTAGGAATTTTTTCTGCATAACAGTTTTCATGCATACAAGTCATTTGGGATTCTAACCAAGTGTTTCCATTTCAAACTGAATAAAGTTTTACTTTGTAAATGTCTATATTAACAAAGCTTTCATTGAGGTTCGGAGAGGGGGCACTTAAAAATGTTTGCCAACCCCCCCATTAAAAAGTATATATTACTCAATGAAGTGGTATAGAAATAGATATCTATTTCTTTAAGTCCTACACAAAATAAAAGCATCTAACTTTGTGGGCAGAGGGAGGTCCAACTTTTTGTTTTCTTAACGCAGATGGAAAGAATCCCAAGAGACCAGTGAAGCAAGAAATTATCAAAGCTGCGGTATTTACGAAGTCACTTTGTGCCAGTGCCCCAGCAAGCTGCCACCATGGCTGCCAAGCCCTGTCACCCTTGCTGATCAGTACAGAGAGGGGCTCGCTGCGCTGGGTAGAGGAAGCAGGAAGTTTGCTGAACTCAGACGGAAGAAAAAGGATTCCTCTGGAGAATCCCAGCAGGTGGGAGAGCCGCTCTGCAGAGCGAGGCTCTTTTGACCCAGAGTACACACAATAGAGCCCTCTTAGGAGAGAGATTTTTTTCCACAGGTTTCTTCTTGGCCCTCTGGATTTGTTCTAAGCTGGCTTTCTGTGTGTGTGAGTTGTCTTGGCCTTTCTGGTTTTCTTTCCCTTTGGAACTTTCAGATCTTTCCATTGTGCACGATGTCCCTGTGAAAAGGCCTGAGTCACTCGGCCTCAAACTTTGCAGCCCCAAACATTCCCTCTTTGAATTAAGGTCACCTGTGTATGTCTCCCCACTCGGTAGAGGAAAGGGCACTTCATCGCCCTGGCCCTGGGCCCAAGGACCCCCTTGGGAGCATTGTCGAGGGACTTTTTCAGATGAGAGGCTTTCTGTAAAAGACTGACAGGGACTTCTTAGGACAGATGACCTTTAAATATATTTTCCAATTCTGATTCTGGGATTCTAAAATGGTGTGTGGACCCCATACAATGTCATTTGAGCAGGAGCAGACAGAACTGGAGATAACTCAAAGGAGATGTTAGAGCTGCCTTTAAGATCCTTGGAATACAGAAACAAGAAAGACATTAGTCCTAGGATATGTGATCTCAGAAGGCAGAAATTTTGGCCGGAGTTTTATGACAGGATGGGAGTTTACAGTTGATCTAGGAAAGGAATCCTGATTTACCAGTCAGATCTGCTGGAGTAAAGCCCAAAGACCTGGTTTTGAATGCTCACCGCTGCCTAACATCTGTGTGACCCTGGGCTACTGACCTGACTTTGCTGAGCCTGTTTTCCCATAGGCCAAACAGTGATAAGGCTTGCCTTGATTCTGCCATCCGGCTATTGTGAAGAGGAATAGGATAAGAGAAAGTGCTTGTAAATTCTGAAGTTCTAAAGATTTAATCCTACTGTCCAACTCCCCTGTTTGATGGAGTAGATAACCAGAGAATGGAGAAGTTAAGAAACTTACATGAGAGCACACAGTATTGATCTAAGGTAGTAGCTGATAAGGCCTCACATCTACAAGAGATAATATATTGATCCCTAGCAGCTCCAGGATAAAAGGCTTTTGGGGGGGCCTTGGGGCCATGACGCAGCCCCAACTTCCCACTGGAGTTTCATCTCACTCTTAATTTTATTTTCTGATTATGAAAATTATATGTGCTCACTGTGTGGAACTTGTATAATACAAAAAGCACAAAGTAAAACATGTTAAAACATTTTAATAATTCTGCTATGTGGACATATCTACTGTTGAAATTAAGATATATAACCTTTTAGCCTTTTCTCTGTGCATGTACATATTTGAACATAATTGGAATATTTCATGCAAACTTTTGTATATTGACTCCTTTTTCACCTGATGGTTTGTTGTACACTTTGCCATTAAAATTCATTAAGCAGTATCAAATGCATAATTTTCCACTGTGTAAGAACATAACAGCTTGTAACAAGTCCTCTACTGTTGGACACCGAGGTTCTTTCTTGTTTGCTACAAACAAATGTGTTGAACATTCTTACCTGTGAGTTGTTGTTTTCCTGGCCTGTCTTTAACTCCCAGCACCTTTCATTCAGTCCAGGTAGCTGCCCACATGTTAAGAAGCGGGATCTGAAGGAAAACCTGCATAAGGCTCTACATCAAATGCTGAAAGTGCTGCCCCACCAACAAGCAATGCTTCCTATAGGTTCCCTGGGGTGATTTTGGCCATTCTCTAAAACTCTGAGTTTCTTGTCTTCTGCAGAGACTCACAAATGTTTGTTTGCCCCAAAGTGTTATAGGTTTATCCTGATAATATGTGCAATACGATATACAGCTGAGGCCCTAAGCCCTATTAAAATATCTTAAGGTATTTTATTTAAACATATATATTTTACATGAAGTTTTTATTTTTGCCCTGTGTTGCTTTCAGTGATGCTTAGGGTAATGAAGTTTCACTTTTCTTTCCTGATGTAGGTTTCTGATTGGACATGGGTCCATGTCCTTGTGAAGTCTCCTCCTCCTGAACCTGCCCTGCTCTGTGACTTGCTTTTGACCACCAGCATGCTGCAGAAGTGATGCCGTGTGACTTCTGAGTGGGTCATAGGAAGCCTTGCAGTGTGGCCTGGGTCTTCAGGAATGCTTGTTTGAGGAAAACCACTGTCATGTAAGAAGTATGGCTACCCTGAGACTGTCATGGTGTGAGGACTCCTAAATGAGTCACATGTGGATGGCCACCTATTCAGGCCTCAGTTCTTCCAGCCATTGCGACTGTGGCCCACGCATGTGGGGGAAGAGGCCATTTTTCACGCCCATCCCAGTTGAGTCTTTAGATGATCCCTTCCTGGGCCTCCAGCTGACTGTAACCAGACTCCAGGCAGGAACCACATAGGAACTGAACCCAGTCAACCCACAGGCTGGGGAGGATGATAGTCCATTGTTGTATAAAGCCACTGCATTTGGAATGGTCTGTTGTATACTACCTAATCAGAACAAGACTCAATCCTTTCTTCATAGCTGGTAGTCTTAAGCATTTATTAATTCATATTTTAGTCACATTATGAATTTTCTATCACAATAAGCATTTATTGAGCACTTTTTATAGAGGGACTATGCTAGGCTTGAAGAATAAAAGACACATAGGACACGGCCCTGCTTATGTTCAGGTAGCTGTGGTCTAAACGAGGACGCACACATAAGGTGAAGACCCCATGAGATGGAATACACGGGGATAACAAGCCTCACAGTGGACTGGTCGCTTTACCAGGGGTGAGGCGATTCTGCCTATAAGGTAGGGAAGGACTTTCTGAAAGGGTGACACTGAGTTCCACCTTGAAAAATGCCTGAGAATTCACCCATAGACACAGTGGAAGAGGGGTGTTCCGAGGAAGGGAGATCAATGTGCAGAGAGACAGAAATCCCGGTTCGCTTATTCCCAACAAGGCAGAGAACAAACCTCTCCCAGTGATGCCCTCCCTTGTTCCCGTCCCCAATCTTTTGATAATAGTGGGAAGGGTTTCAAAGTGAGGGTTAAAAATGGGCTGGTTTTGCCACCCCTTAGTAAGTCTTGGGCAGGATTCTCAACTCTTGACACTCATTAAAATCACCTGGGAAGCTTTTGCAAAACTCCAGCATGGTACAACTACTTTAGAAACTGGTGTTATCCATTAAAACTAAACATTTGCTTATCTTAGCAATTCCACTCCTAGGTTTATAGAGTAAACAGAAACACATACGTGCCTGTGTCAAAAAACATGTATAGGCATGTTCAAGACCACACTGTTTGGCCAAGTGCCCTAGTTCATGCCTGTAATCCCAGCATCTTGGGAGGCCAAGGCGGGAGTATTGCTTGAGGCCAGGAGTTTGAGACCAGCCTGGGCATCATAGTGAGACTCCCATCTTGACACACACACAGTTTTTTTTTTTAATTAGCTGGGTGTGGTGGCGTGCACCTGTAGTCCTAGCTACTTGGGAGGCTGAGGTGATAGGATCCCTTGAGCCCAGAAGTTCAAGGCTGAAATGAGCTATGATTGTGTCACAGCACTCCAGTATGGGCAACAGAGAGATCCTATGTCCAAAACAAAAACAAAAACAAAACAAAAATACACACATTATTTGTAAGATGTAAAAAAAGGGAACAATCCATGTGTATCAATAGAATAGTTATATGCTGTGTATGCGTAATTAGTGTCTTAACCTGTTCAGGCTGCTGAATACCTCAACTGGGTAATTTACAAACAACAGAATTTATGGCTCATGGTTCTAGAGGCTAGGTAGTCTAAGATGCAAACGTCAACAGATTTGATGTCTGGTAAGGCCCTGTTCATCATAGATGGCACCCTTTTGCTGTGTCCTCACATGGCAAAAGGGACAAACAGGATTTTTTCAAGCCTCTTTTATGAGGGTACTAATTCCATTTATGGGGGGAGAGCCTTTGTAACCCATTCACTTCCTAAAGCCCCCACCACTTAATACTATTGGAGATTAGATTTCAATATATGAAATTTGGGTGGGACACAAACATTCATACCATAGCGGGCAGACAATGTAATACTATACAGCAATGAAAAGAAATGAACAACAGCGACCCAGAACAACATGAATGAACTTTTTTTTTTTTTTTGACAGAGTCTTGCTCTATTGCCCAGGCTGGAATGCAGTGACACAATCTTGGCCCAACCTCCACCTCTTGGGTTCAAGCAATTCTCCTGCCTCCGCCTTCCGAGTAGCTGGGATTACAGGCACACGCCACCATGCCCAGCCAATTTTTGTATTTCTAGTAGAGATGGGGTTTTGCCACGTTGATCAGGCTGGTCTTGAACTCCTGACCTCGGGTGATCCGCCTGCCTCAGCCTCCCAAAGTGCTGGGATTGCAGGCATGAGCCACTGCGCCAGGCCCATGAATGAATCTTAAAAATAAAATAGTGAATCAAGGAAGTCAGACACAAAGAGTACATACTCTACGGCTGCATTTCTATAAATATCAAAAAGAGGCAAAACAAATGTGTGGTGTTAGAAATCAGGAGAGTGTTACTATCCTGGGGAGGAAGGAGAAGACCTGAAGGAACTTGAGGGGGGCTTTGGCCTGCTGGTAGAGCTTTTTTTTTTTTTGTCTCGATCTAGGTGGTAGTTACATACGGATATTCACGTTGTAAAAGTTTGCCAAGGCTTTAATGTAATTATCTGATGCATATTATAATTAAAATGGAAAGTTTGTTTTAAAAGTACCAGTGCTTGGTCTCCACCCCTATGGACTCTGGTTTTATTGCTCTGGGAAGGAGCTCAGCCCTCTTAGTGGTGTAAAAATTTTCCAGGTGATTCTGATATGCAGTCAGGCTTGAGAAACACATGCTGTGCTTGATTAGTGGCCTCTCTCTTTGGACTTGGAGAATGCTGGCCTGTTGTTTTCACCTATTGGCCAGTCCCACTCAGCCTTTGGTTATGAATTAGATTAGAAACGTAGGAGAGAAGGGCCAGGTGCGGTGGCTCCCGCCTGTAATCCCAGCACTTTGGGAGACTGAGGTGGGAGGACTGCCTAAGCTCAGGAGGTTGAGACCAGCTTGGGCAACATGATGAGACCCTGTCCCTATAAAACAATTCAAAATTTAGCTGGGTATGATGGTGTGTGCCTGTGATCCCAGCTACTCTGGAGGCTGAGGCAAGAGGATTGCTTGAGTCCCGGAGGTTGAGGCTGCAGTGAGCTATGATCATGCCACTGCTCTCCAGCCTGAGTGACAGAGCAAGACCCTGTCTCAAAAAAAAAAAAAAAAAGAAAAGAAAAAAAGAAAAAAGAAACTTAGGAGAAAGGGCAGGGCTTGAGTCATCAGCATATAGACAGTCACTGTCTGAAGGTGATGGAGTTGGGGGATATTGGTTAGAGATTGGTTGGAGATGGATCCCAGAGTTTAGGGTGATATGAAAAGAAGTGAACTAGGAGAGAACTATAGACTTAGAGAAAATGGGGAAACCAAGAAACAGAAGCACTGGATGAGGCTTCTTGGCAGATACAATAAGGTGAATGTGTGAGGCATGGGGAGAGTAGGAAGTCACGGTAATTGAATGGATCCAGAGGTTCAAAAGCTGGCAAAGCAGTGGCATCACAGCTTGCCTTGCTCTCAGTATGGCCTGCTCTCAAGGCTACCCAAGCAAAATGACTGATGTTGACGTAACTGCATGTGCTTTTTCATTATCCTTCCTGGGCCAGCACCACATTTGACCCTTTTCCTAACCACCTTATTGGCTTACCAAGTCAGTGGCTGTGTTCTGAATGTGAGCTCCAAGGCTGCCACCAGTGACTGGGCTTGGTAAATGGTTCCCTTTATAGGACTCTGGGTGGAAAATTGGAGTTGTGGTTAGATTAGAATCATTTCCAACTGTGCTCTGTGGAAGTCCTGGAGACCACTGTTAGGTGGCCAGGACAGGTTGGAGGAGAAGGGAGAAGACAACTGCCACCCCACTCCTCTGAATTTAACCAGAATGGAACTTTTCTGTTTTACACACTGGATTCTGCAGCTAGGAAAACCTGAAACTATGTGTTTAATTATCACCAGGGTCCCTTCTAGTGCTAAGAATCTGAACTTCCCCTCGCTCCTCAGTTGGGCAACAAGTGAGTTAAGACTCCTGGCCCCACCTTGAACACTGCTGTCTTCCCAGGGTTCTTCCTTTTCACCTTCCAAAAGCTACCTCTCTTCCATCTTCTCCCCTCACCACCTCAGCTTTAGAAGGAAACATGTTCGCCGGTGCCTGAGAGGCTGTCTGAGGAAACCTGCTCTCAGAGCACAGGGAAGCCGCGTCAGCATGCTGCCCTGTGCACAGCTTCCTGGAAGGGGTCTGCTTACTTTTACTATTGCACTGAACAAATGGAAAAGAATTTGGGACCATTGCAAAGACCTACAGCCAGGGCAGCAAGGATGGTGGTGGGAGCCCAGCTGAGGCTGGGGCTAAGATTAAAAACTGGGCTACTCTTTACTATATAAAAGGAAGCAAAGCCAGGACTTAGCAGAGTGCCTCAAAGTATCACCAAACTGAGGGAACAGAAAAGATTTTCAGCTACTCTCAGTAAAGGGTGTTGCTATTTCAACTTCCAAAAGCAAAATGAAGCTGTAGCCTGCAAAGGAATGAAGTCATCTGTTCACAGACCCACAGGTGGAAAACTTTCTAAATAACATCGCTCAGCTTCCCACATTTGAGAACACAAACATTGAAGCCCAAGAGAAGTGACTTGCCCAAGGTTACAGAGACAGAGGCAGAATGTGTGGTTGGGGGAAGGAGCACTGTCTATAGGGTCAGACAAGCCTAAGACAGATCAGAACTCTGTGTGACCATAAGCAAATTCAGTAACTGTATTAGTCTGTTCTCACACTGCTAATAAAGACATACCCAAGACTGAGTATGTTATACAGGAAAGAGGTTTAATTGACTTACAGCTCAGCATGGCTGGGGAAGCCTCAGGAAACTTACAATCATGGCAGAAGGGAAAGCAAACACATCCTTCACATGGTGGCAGGAAGGAGAAATGCCTACCAAAAGGGGAAAAGCCCCTTATAACACCATCAGATCTCATGAGAACTCATTCAGTATCACGAGAACAGCATGGAGGTAACCACGCCCATGAATAAATTACCGCCTACTGGGTCCCTCCCACCACGTGTGGGGATTATGGGAACCATAATTCAAGATGAGATTTGGGTGGGGACACAGCCAAACCATATCAGTAACCTTTCATTTTCTCATCTGTAAAATGGGGGTAATAATAGCTACCTAGCAATGTTACCATGAAGACTAAATGAGAAAATATTTGTGAAATGCCTGACACAAAATAGTGTTCACTAACTAGTAGGCATTATTAGAATAAGGTATAAATTCCCATTGTGTACATTGTGTACATATGGTCCCTTTGAATGACAAGGAGAAACTCACAATGACAGGGCTGTGTTGGGCACTGCCTGGATCTCCCTGGGTGTTTAGTGGAAATACTACCCTTGGGGGTGAGATTTTTCTGCAGCTATCTTCATGGTTCAGGAGAGAGAGAGTCCTTCTTGTCCTTCATGAAGTTTTATGGTGACTTCTGTGCCAATTCAAGAGGAGCTTCTGAATCCGTTTGGACAAAGACAACACATGAACCACTGTGGGGCCTCAATTCCCTGCTGAAAGACTGTGTTCGTTCATTCAGCAAATACACATCTGAGCACCTACTCCATGTCAGACACTATTCTAGGTGCTGGGGATACAGCAGTGAACAAATAAAATCCTGTCCTCATGGAGCTTACATTCCAGCAGACCCTAACAATTCACAGGAAAGTGGTGACAGGGCTGATGTCAGGCTCTGAGGCCCTTCTGTTCAGAAGGCTCTTCCCTTACATTGCCCCAGCCCCTTTCTCTTTTTCCTTCCCACAGCCTCGGCTCTGTTCCCTCCTCCATTCTTATAATTCTCCTTTTATAAGCCACTCTCCATTTAACTGGTGGATTTAAAGCAAATAGCAATTGTGTTAAGAAGCAGGAAATATGATACTTTACACAATGATGGAGAAATCAGAAAAATTAAGGCTTGTATAAATCTCTTCTCTAAATTGTGCCCATAGGCCAATTAATTAAGCTGCTTTTGCCTTGTGTCTGTTGCAGCTGATACATTTCTTTCTGAAAATGGCTGGCCTGCATTAGAAGGGCCCTCCCCACTCCCAGAGCTCAGGTTTGGGTGTGTCTTTTAGAGTAAACATAGCACCCCTGACCCCACCTCCTTTATCACTTGGCTCTGGCTGTGAAAAGAAAGAGAAAAAAAGTAGGTTTGTTTAGTGTGAACTCTTTTTCTGAAGCCAACAGGGAGAACAAGATTTGAAACAAGAGGAGACTGAGTTGGGTTCAATGGTTAACCAGTCAGATTAATGAATGCTAGAAGGAGGAAATAGCCAGTAAGTAAAGAGGCAAGAAAAAATGTCTCCCCGTGGTTCAAAAGCCAACTAAAGTTTACCAAGAGCTGTGACCTGTGGTTAAAATGTCCTCAGAGGCCAGCTCTCATCTGATTTCAACCTGAAGCCCCATTTCCTATCAAGAGAGCCATTTGGCTCCTCTCTTAAGCTCAGCAGCCCTGAGGTGTGGTAGCCTCACGCTGACCCATACAGAATGCAACAGAACTGTCCCTGCTGCAGAAGTCTCAGGGTTCTGCCCCAACTGCATAGACTTCTTTCATGGAACCGGCTCCTCTATCCCCACAAGGCTTCTCCCCAGCACAGCTTCTACCTAGAATCAGACGGAGAGCTTTAGACCAGGTAAGAACTCTGGGCCAATGTAAATCAGGAGCGCCAGGCTGTCCCAGCCTCTGCCCTGACTTGCTCTATGAGTTTGGCAAATTCCTTAATCTGCCCATGCCTCTCTTTCTGTGTTGTTAACATGATGATGTTGGCCTAGAGCAGGGGCTGGCAAACTTTTTATGTAAAGAGACAAATATAATATTTTAGGCTTGTAGACCACATGGTCAGTATCTCTCTCAACTATCCAAAGCCACCACTGTAGCATGAAAGCAGCCACAGATGGGTTGTAAATGGAGGGGCGTGGTTGTATTCCAATAAAACTTTATTTACAAAGACAAGTGGTGAACAAGATTGGCCAGTGGACTGTATTTTGCCAACTCCTGGACTAAATCTCTAAGGATCTTTGCAACACTGAAATACCGTACTACCTGGATTGTTTTACAGAGAGAAAACGGAGGCGTGGTGACACCAAGTGACATGCTCCAAGCCGCTGAACATGTTGGTGGCAGAGCTAGAACTCGACACCAAGTCTCCTGGCTTTAGTCCACTGTGGCTCTCAATCCTCGCACACGCAGAGCACAGACCGTTTTTGGTACACGAGGCTTACCCTGGGAACTGCCCTCCCTCTGTGGCTTGGCGAGGGGGGTCGGGGGAAAGGGTAGGGAGGATGTGAGGGGTGGGGAGCAGTGCTCTCTCTGCCTGTTTCAGGAAGGCTCTCTGGTTTGGTGAGAGCCCACACTTTGTTAAGTGAGATAAGGGACACTACAAGAAAAGGAGGGGGTGGGTGGGCAGAGGACATCACGCTGCTTATTTTGAACCTGGGAAAACTGTGCCTTAGGAGAGGGAAGTCCTGCATATTTCATGCTGTGACTTCTTGCTTCCAAACTGCGTATGCTGGCCTCCTTTTCACCCAGATGGTGCTGCAGGGAACAAGGCCCCACCAGTGTGTGCTCTTCCTGTGTGTCCAAATTTCCACCAAAGAGGGCTCCTCCCAGGAGATTGGCTGCCGAACCTGTTCTTCCACGGCAGAAGCGGCGCAGCTAGCCCAGCACGACTCTGCTTATTGTTACGCTTCTGCCACATGTGTGTAAATTTGTAAGGAACTTGCCGCTCCTGGCTGAAGACCCAGGGAGCTTTTGCGCTGTTAATCTGTTTTCCTTTTTGCCCTCAGCCTTTGCTCTTCAGGGGAGAGGCCGTCGATAAGGTCCAATGGGGTGGGGTGACACCTCTTGGGCTCAGAATCTCAAGGGTCCCAAGGTCCAGTCAGTGAGAGCCTTCTGTCTACATGCCACCCTGTCCCCTCTGTGTGGAGCCCTCAGCAGGACCCTGGCCACAGGGCTCTGGAGCAATAATATTACCCCATGACAACTGTCGTGACTGCTACCTCAAAAAGTAAGACAGTCCTGCCATCTACGTTCATGGAGCTCCGAGGAGCAGCTCAGTTCTGTTTGTTGTGACAGGATTTTATAGCAAAATTTGCATGAAAGACATGAAGCTCAGCAATTGGTTTGCGACAGAGGCGTTTTCTTGCCAAATGAGGAAGTGAGATGATCAGAACTGGCTTTAGCATGAGCCTGGATTGGGGAACTCAGCTGGTTCTGGGCTCATACAACTTCACCTGTGAAGGTATATGGAATTCATGGTCAGCCCACATCTTCTAGCTGCAGGTTCAGTTCAGGGTGATCCCTACCTGGAGTTCTAGACTACCAGGCCAGTTTTGGAGGGTCCCGAAGGTATGAATAAGTGGTCCTGCAAACCCCAGCCCACCCTCACATATCCTAAAAGAAACTATGGCAGTTGGAGCCTGAGTTTTCTGGGTGACTGCTTCTCTATCTTTGTCTCTCTCTCTCGCCCACACCCGCCATTACTGCCAAACTCAGTTGCAAGGATTCCTGACCTATTTTTGCTCTCTAGCCTCTGCCTTTGCTGACAATGTCAGCCTCTGCTTTGAAAGCCCTTCCCTCTCTGGGCTGCTTCCATTAGTCCTTCAGCTTCCGAATCTTATGGCTCTCACCATCCCTTTCCTTGTGTTTCTGTTATTCATATCCCAAAGCCCTTCCAAATAGTGATATTCTCCAGGGCAAGGATCCTCTCCAATTTATTATCATATCCCTGGATCCTCCTATGACCTTTGGCATAGCTGTTGGAGGAGTGAGCAGATGAGTGAGTAAGTAACTGATCTTCTCCTCACCCATCCTCAGAGGAAGACCACGGGACAGGTGTGAGTGGTGCCTCCCAAAGATACTCCAAATACCAACCCCTAGCACCTGTGGATGTGACTTTATTTGGAAATTGGGTCTTGGCAGATGTCATTAAGTTAAAGATCTTGAGATGAGATCATCCTGAATTTAGAGTGGGCCTTAAATCCTGATAAAGAGACAGAAAAAGAGAAGACACAGAGACATACACAGGAGAGAGCCATGTGAAGCCAGAGGCAGAGATTGGAAAGATTTATCTATAAGAAAAGCCAAGAACTGCCAGAAGCTAGGAGAGAGGCATGGGATAAATTTTCCCATTCCTCACACCATTCACAAAAATTAACTTAAAATGGATCAAAGACTCAAATGTAAAGCTAAAATTATGAAAACCCCTAAAAGAAAAGATGGGATAAATCTTAATGACCTAGCATTAGGCAATGGTTTCTTAGATATGACTCCAAAAGCATGAGCAACAAAAGAAAAAATAGTTAAGTTGGATTTCATTGATACTAAAAATATTTGTATTTCTAAGAACACCACCAAGAAAGTATAAAAGACAGCCAAAAGAATGGGAGAAAAATTTTGCAAACCATATATCTGATAAGGGGTTTGTATCTAGAATATATAAATAACTCTTAAAACTCAATACTAAAAAGACAATGAACACAATCTGAAAACGGTCAAAAGACTAGGTGCAGTGGCTCACACCTGTAATCCCAGCCCTTTGGGAGGCTGAGGCGGGAGAACTGCTTAAGCCCAGGAGTCCTCATCAATTTCTTTTTGGGCAGGAATGTTGTTGCATGCCTATAGTTCCAGTTACCCTGAAGGCTAAGGTAGGAGGATGGCTTGAGCCTAGGTGTTTGAGGTTACAGTGAGCTATGATTGTACCATTGCTCTCCAGCCTGAGCAACAGAGAGACACTTGTTCTCTCTTTTTTTTTTAAATAAAGGCAAAAGATCTGAAAGCTATTTCTCCATAAGACTATATACAATGATCAATAAACACATAAAAAGATGAGTCATTAGCTATCAGGGAAATGCAAATAAAAACCACAATGAAATTATATAACACTAGATGGCTGTCATAAAAAAGACAAATAATAAAAATTGTTGGTGAGGGTGTGGAGAAATCAGAATTCTCATACGCTGCTGGTGGAAATGTAAAATAGTGGAGAGACTCTGGAAAACAGTCTGGCAATTCCTCAAAAGGTTAAACATAGAGTTACCACATAAGCCCATTCTATTCCATTTCTAGGTATATAACCAAGAGAAATGAAAACATACACCCATGCAAAAATTTGTGCCAAAAGTTCATAGTAACATTATTCATAATAGCCAAAAAGCGCAAACAACCCAAATGTCCCAAATGTCTATCAAGTGATGAATGGATTAAAAATTGTGTTATACCCAAACACCAGACTATTACTCAGCCATACGAAGGAGGTGCGCACTCACGTTACAACACAAATAAACCTTGAAAATATTATACTAAGTGAAAGAAGCTGGTTACCAAAAAAACCCCCACATATTATATGATTCGATTTATATGAAATGTCCAGAATAGGCAAATCCATACAAGCACAAAGTAGATTCTTGGTTTCCCAGGGCTGGAGATGGAGGAGATGAGGGAAGTTAAGGGGTGACAGCTGAAAGGGTGACAGCTAAAAGGGATGGAGGTTTCTCTGAGAGGCTGGGGAAGATGTTTGAAATTGTACTGTGGCAATGGTTGGTGGCACAGCTCTGTGAATATAGTAAAAGCCACTGAGTGGTACAATTGAAACCAGTGAATTGTGTGGTATGTGAATTATATTTCAATAAAAAAAGTACATATCTAATTGATATAAAAAGACTGGACTGGAAACACATTTGCCAAAATGTGTGGTGGGTTATAGGTGGTATTTATTTTCCACTTCATGTTTTTCTCTAGTAACCAAATTTTCTCCACTTCACATGGTTTATAGATTCTTCTCATAATCATAAAAATTACTAATATAAAAATTAATAAGTAAAAGACTAGATGGTTCCCTTCCCTTCTCTTCCCTTTCCTTTCCTCTAGTGGAAGATTAATTACTTAAATGGCACGTCAATTGTACTGAAGTGTAATTAAAAATGCAGATACATCTTAAAAGCAGAGATATCTTCATCAAGGAAACATTCTTTCTTTTTTAAAATTTTATTTTATTTTAAGTTCTGGGACACATGTGCAGAACGTGCAGGTTTGTTACACAGGTAAACGTGTGCCATGGTGGTTTGCCGCACCTACCAACCCATCACCTAGGCATGAAGCCCCGCATGCAGTAACTATTTATCCTGATGTTTTCCCTCCCTACTCCCCACAGGCCCTGGTGTGTGTTGTTCCCTTCCCTCTGTCCATGTGTTCTCATTGTTCAGCTCCCACTTATGAGTGAGAACATGCAGTGTTTGGTTTTCTGTTCCTGTGTTAGTTTGCTGCGAATGATCGCTTCCAGCTTCATGTCCCTGCAAAGGACATGGCCTCATTCCTTTTTATGGCTACATAGTATTTCATGGTATATGTACCACATTTTCTTTATCCAGTCTATCATTGTTGGGCATTTGGGTTGATTCCATGTCTTTGCTATTACAAATAGTATGGCAATAAACATATGTGCGCATGTATCTTTATAATAGAATGATTTATATTACTTTGGGTATATACCCAGTAATGGAATTGCTGGGTCAAATGATATTTCTGGTTCTAGATCCTTGAGGAATCATCACACTGTCTTCCACAATGGTTGAACTGATTTACATTCCCACCAACAGTGTAAAAGCGTTCCTATTTCTCCACAGCCTTGCCAGCATCTGTTGTTTCTTGACTTTTTAACAGTTGCCATACTGACTGGCGTGAGATGGTACCTCATTGTGGTTTTGATTTGCATTTCTCTAATGATCACTGATGTTGAGCTTTTTTTCATATGCTTGTTGGCTACATAAATGTTTTATTTTGAGAAGTCTCTGTTCATGTCCTTGGCCCACCTTTTGATGGGGTTGTTTTTTCTTGTAAATTTGTTTAAGTTCCTTGTAGATTCTGGATATTACACCTTTGTCAGATGGGTAGATTGCAAAAATTTTCTTTCATTCTGTAGGTTTCCTGTTCACTCTTGATGATAGTTTCTTTTGCTGTACAGAAGCGCTTTAGTTTAATTAGATGCCATTTGTCAATTTTTGCTTTTTTTGCAATTGCTTTTGGCAATTTCATCATAAAATCTTTGCCCATGCCTATGTCCTGAATGGTACTGCCTGGATTTTCTTCTAGGGTTTTTATGGTTTTGGGTTTTACATTTAAGTCTTTAATCCATCTTGAGTTAATTTTTGTATAAGGTATAAGGAAGGGGTCCAGTTTCAGTTTACTGAATATGGCTGGCCAGTTTTCCCAGCACCATTTATGAAATAGAGAATCCTTTCCCCATTGTTTGTCTTTGTCAGGTTTGCCAAAGATGAGATGGTTGTAGATGTGTGGTCTTATATCTGAGATCTCTACTCTGTTCTATTGGTCTATGTGTCAAAACAGACCTTTTCTACACAGCATCCTTGACAAAAAGGTCCAGCCTCCACTGCCACCGCCCCACCCCGCCCCCACAGTGACAGGAGCAAGCTCACTTCATCCCTCAGCACCATGTTCCTGAGGACTAGCTCTGAAGCTTCTGTCTTGTGTTGAGTTGAAATAGTTCTCCCTAAAGCTCTCCTTGTGGGTCCAGTATTGCCTTCTGAAGCCACACAGAAGCATCCTGTTTCCCTTCCATACAATAGCCCTTTAGGTATCTGTAGATAAGCGGGCAACTCCTGGAGACTTCCCTGCTTCAGAAGAAATACTTGCAGCGCCTTCTATCATTCCTTGCATGATATATGTGTCAGCAAGACCTGAGTTGCAAGCAGTAGAAACCCATGCTAGCTGACTCAGGTAGAAAAGACATTTCGTTAGAAGGAAATGGGAGTGGTCACAGGATTGGCAGAACAGTTGGAAATCCAGCTGGAGAAATAGACAGGAACAAGCCAGAAGCACACTGAAACCTATCCAAAAGCATCCCAGGAGGGCACACTGAGTGCCGCATGGAGCCTGCACCACCATGGGGAGGAAGCAGCCACCGCCTTCCTGAATCGTAAGTCTCAATCAACCATGCAACGGTGGGAGCAGCAGCTATTTCTCAAGAACTTATTGGGGAAAATAGGTAATAGAATTTATCTGGATACCAATTTGCCTGTTAGGTCAGCTTGACTTTCTCTAAAGCCTCAGGCATAGAGTTATCACGGACTGAGTGTTTGTACGTCTCTCAAACTCATGCGGAAGCCCAAACCTCCGGTGTGCCTGTCTTTGGAGACAGGGCTTGTGAGGAGGTGGTGATAAAGGTTAAATGAGGTTGGAAGGCTAGGGCCCTAATCTGATAGGGCTGGGGCCCTTATAAGGTGAAGAAGAGATAGCAGAGCTCTCTTTCTTCCCAGTCGGGATACAGTAAGAAGGCTGCCGGCTACAAGCCGGGAAGGAAGGCTTCACTCATTACCAAATTGACCAGCACCTTGATCTTGGATATCTCAGGCTTCAGAACTGTGAGCAATAAATTTCTGTTTTTTAAGCCACCTGCTCTGTGGTGTTTTGTTAGGTCAACCCAAGCTAACTAATATAAATGGGTTGGCTATCATTATGTGTTTCCAACCATCCAAAATTTCCACAAAGCACAGTAGCCCTTTGAGAGACATGAGACCTAGTCATGACCCAGGGTTTTCTCATTCAAGCACTGGAGTTGTACTCACAGTGGTGCTGTTGATGTAGTTTATTCTAGGGAGCATCACATGAAGCAGAGAAAGGATCATTCAAGGAACCACGGGATTTTTGTAGGATTTTAGGAACCCTCTAGGTGCTACCCCCAGTCCTGAAAGGAGCACCAGGCAGACTATGCACAGGTTGCTTGGGAAGATTTTTTTTTTTTTTTTTTTTTAGACACGGGTTTCACTCTTGTTTCCCGGGCTGGAGTGCAATGGCACGATCTCAGCTCACTGCAACCTCCGCCTCCCGGGTTCAAGCGATTCTCCTGTCTCAGCCTCCCGAGTAGCTGGGACTACAGGCATGTGCCAACATACCTGACTAATTTTTTGTTTGTTTTTTTGTTTTTGTATTTTTAGAAGAGACGGGGTTTCTCTGTGTTGGTTAGGCTGGTCTTGAACTCCTGACCTCAGGCGATCCGCCCTCTTCGGCCTCCCAAAGTGCTTGGGTTACAGGCATAAGCCACTGCGCCCAGCTGGGAAGCTTGTTAAAAATATAGATTGAAAGCTCTACCCTCTGAGAGTCTACTTTTGTCAGCCTGGGAGAGGACCCAGTGTATTTTGAACAGGTGCTCCAGGAGACAGGATTAGGCAGAATCCAGATTGGGAATCCTACTCTGGACAAGCCTCTCATCCGCAGATGGGAAAACAGGCTAAAGTTGAAGACCCTGGGTCCAAGGTCACCGACTGCCAGGTCAGACTAGACCAGCACTTGGGTCTCCTCATCTCTGGGGTATTGGTCTCTGTCTTCACCGCACTGACAAGTCCTCTGTATGGGAAAGAGTCTTTATTGGAGACTCCAGACGGTGCCTGGAGAGGGACACAGAACTCTGCCATGAGAGAGGTGGTGGGGGCAGTGGAGTTCTGACTGGGAGAAACTGTACAGTCTCCCAGTAACAGTTAACTTAGAGCTGGGCCTTACAAGAGGGTGGGCAGGATTCCTTAGAATAAGTAGGTTATTGGGAATTTAATAAGCAGATGGGGGTGGAAGAGGATTCCAGGTGGAGACAACAGCTTGAGCAGAATCCTGGCTGGTGGTGGGACTTTGTAGGCAGAGTGAGAAAAGATGGCAGCCCCATGTGGCTGCCGCAGGCCTCGTCCGGGACACTGAAGCACGGCAGGTGCACTTGGAGTTGAGGCTTGAATGGCAGGTTGGGGCTGAAATTCTGTTGTAAACCCTAAAGCCTCAACAACACCCCTGGGCACATAGAGATGCTCGATGAATACCTCATAAAGCCATTTGATAGCTCGCTCCAATTTTAAGAAGCAAAGAATGAGTTGAGATGTTTGTAAATCATCAGAGAGAGATGGCTCCTTATGACTCATGGCACCCAATTTGGAGTAAGGAGAATCTGCCTCAGAGGAAAAAAACTGTGTACCCCAAAATCCTACCAAGAAAGAGGTTCCCTCTGCTCACATTTCCACTGAGCTCTTCCAGCACCCTGGCATCTATATTTTTTGGCTCCTGGTGCCTTTTTTTTTCTTTTTTTTGAGACGGAGTCTTGCTCTGTCACCCAGGCTGGAGTGCAGTGGCATGATCTTAGCTCACTGCAACCTCCATCTCCTGGGTCCAAAAGTGATTCCCCTGCCTCAGCCTCCCGAGCTGTTGGACCACAGGCATGCACCACCATGCCTGGCTAATTTTTTTGTATTTTAGTAGAGATGGGGTTTCACCATGTTGGCCAGGCTGGTCTCGAACTCCTGACCTCGTGATCCGGCTGCCTTAGCCTCCCAAAGTGCTGGGATTATAGGTGTGAGACACCTCACCGGCCTTGCTCCTGGTGCTTTTAATGCACGCGAAGGAGAGGTCAAAAAAACACAAGGTGGAAGTGGGACTTTCCTGGGTGATTCAGAGCAGTGGTTGCAGGTTTGACTGTGCTGGGAGTCAGGTGAATAGAGCATGCTCTACCCCCTCTTATCAGCAATCAGCCATCATGATACAGGCTTTTCCTGAGGGCACAGGCAGATGCCAAGTAGGCACAGAGTCAGATAAGTGCAGTCCCAGTTCATGCCAGAGGCTGTCCCAGGCCCCACCCGCGACCTCACACCACCTCTTGCACACTGCTCTTGGGTCCCAGGAAGGAGTGTGGCCTCTTTTTAAGGTGACCGTCTCAGGCAGCTTGCACTCTTGTGCATGTAATATGAGGTGGTTGCTGTGTTAGGGTCCTGGAGGATATCAGGAAGGGAAGAGGTGCTGAGAGATGCTTAAAAACCTTTCACTCTGAAAGGTGGGATGGGCTGCTGCACAGACACATACTGAGTGGGGTGGGATTGCCTGGGGGTGCAGGAGATGCAAGGGACCGTTCTAAGGAAGCTCCCAGGTTCCAAAGGAGCAGCAGTGCTTTCCTGGCTGGGTTGCTGAGAAGGCATTAGGGCAGGGTAGCTTTTGAGTTGGAACTTGAAGATGGAGATTTGGAAGTGACCGATGGGAAGAAGCAAGGGAATGGCCTGAAGAAAGGGAGAGAGAATGAACATTCCAGGCCTAACCACCAGTCCTCGGCCCCAGTTCTTCTGCCTCCTGCAGGGACATGAGGCAGAGCCTCTCTGAGCATCCGCACTGTTCAGATCACAGTTCTAGGCGCTGACCTGTTTATAAACTGAGTAGTGGCTAGACCCTGCCTTGTAGGAGCTCAAACACTTAGGTACACCAGGATAGCTCTGATTGAAACCAGACTGGTATTTTTCTCTGAAGGGCCCTGTTCCTCACCTGGTCAGTCTTGCCTCTCATGATCCCACACCCATGAGTCCTCCCCTCATGCAATCGACTCCCCTAGCCCTGTAGAAAGCTGTGCTTTCCTTGCCTCATGGCGCTAGCTTCTGCTGTTGCCTGCATCTAGAGTGCCCTTCCTGCCATGTGTGACGGTCCACATCTGCCCATGAGGCCTGAGTCCAGTCCCGCCTTCACTATGACATGACCATGCCGATCTTCATCCCTCCCCAGCCCACCAGGCAGAAACATCTCTCCCGTCTTTGAACTTCACCACGCCGTGCATCTTCCTCTGGGTGTGCAATCGTCACCTGCGTACATGATTGATTCTGCCCCCAACACTAGACTGTGAGTACCCTTTGCGGGCAGAGCTATGTGTCCTTATCACCAGAGTCTTGCACAGCACTTAATAGATGCTCAGGAAACATCTTTGTCAGCATAGTATAGCTGGATGTAGAAATCTCTGAAAACATAGAGGCCAGAGTTCATCAGAAAGCGTTAGAAGGACTTCACAAGGTTCACTGGAAAGAAGTAAAGCTTAGAGATCTGTGGAAGGAGGCAAAGGGCCATTTGAAAGCAGAGAACAGGTGAGGGGCTGTGCATTAGGAGTGGAAGAGCCCATTGGAGGCCTGCGGACTTGGAACGAAAGGGTCTTTCACTACATATCCCATCCACCCACCTGGGAAGCCCTTCTCCCTGCCCCCAACCCAGACACATGTCCCAGTTGGATGCTGGACAGAGGCTTTGAATATGAGGCAGAAAAACTTTGGCTCAGAATAGGAAGGCCCTGCTGGCTCCTGGAAAGGTTTCTAGCAGGATAAAAACTATTTTTAAAAGGTAGCCTGGATCATGTCACTCTTTCACTTAAAGTGCTTCAGAAGTTTCTCATTTCTCTTAGCAGGCAGAAAGAACTCAAAGCTCAGATGGTCAGGGTCCTGTTGGTTCATCAAGCTCAGCCTGCCTGGAGGCAGCCACTGTGTTGTTCCCTCTCTTCGTCCTCCCTCTGCACTCTCTCTTGCCACGGGACATTTGCACAAGCAGTTCCCTCTAACTGGAACACTAAGAAATATGGAAGTAAAAGGGGTTGGGAGAAAAGACAGGAGTCACAGGTGACTGTGTGGGATGAGGAGAGTCGTGAAAACTTTTTTTTTTTTTTTTTGAGATGGAGTCTCGCTTTGTCACCCAGGCTGGAGTGCCAGTGGTGCCAATCTCGGCTCACCGCAACTTCCACCTCCCAGGTTCAAGCAGTTCTCCTGCCTCAGCCTCCTGAGTAGCTGGGATTACAGTTGCCTGCCACCACGCCTGGCTAATATTTGTATTCTTAGTAGAGAAGAGGTTTCACCATGTTGGCCAGGCTGGTCTCAAACTCCTGACCTCAGGTGATCCACCTGCCTCAGCCTCCCAAAGTGCTGGGATTACAGGCATGAGCCACTGCACCCGGCCGAAAACATTAAGAGTAGGTGGATGTTACTTTGGACACCAAATGAAGAAGTGTGCCGAGCTGAAAGAGAAAAGGAGAAGAAAATGGACATGACATTTACGGGGTTCCTCTTGCAGAGAGAGAACCGTGTAGAAGGTAAGCTCTCACTACTGAGTTCAAGTCCCAGACATAATACTTGCTGGCTGTGTGGCCTTGGGAAGGCCCATGAGCACTCTCAGTGAAAGTGAAACTGGGAAGTTTCTGCTTTGGAGAGATTTTCTCACAAATGAGATGAGTTATCATATACCAAGCCCTTAGAGCACGGCCTGGCTCACAGGAAGCCAACAGTAAGTGTGGGTCATTATCAGCGCTGTTGTTAACTGGGGGTAATAACAGGGGCCAGGGGCCAAGAGGCTTTATCTAGCCCTATTTCAGAGGCAAAGAAATGAGGGTGAAAAAGTTCAGGGGCCTGCCTGCAGTCACACAGCAGAGCCAGATATGAACATCGACGTTTTGGCTTTCAAGGTCCACACCCGCCGTATCCTACTGCACGGTGCTGGAAGGCACATGGAAGACTATTGCAGCCCAATCTTCTCATGACAAAGACAGGAAAATGGAGCCCTCTAAGAGAAAGTGACTGATCCACCCTTATGCTCTTAAATGGTAAGCGTCCAGGGATCATCCAAGTTAAGATGGCCCACACGCAGCTGGCAAGGCAGGACCCGAGGCTGAATGAGACGTACAATTGGCTCCACGGTACTGGCAGAACCCACAGCTAGTTTTCAATGCTGAGAACTGTCCATCCTGGCAGAGGCTCACTGCCCTCTGTGCCCTCCCTGGTTGCCTGGGCAGATGGTGAGCTCTGGTTGCCAAGGAGCCCGCGTTGGCAGTTCTGAAATGGGGTGCGTCAGCAGCCTCGCTCCAGCGGCTTCCCACATCCTTGAGTAACCACCACACAAAGGTGCTGGGCATGAGACCAAGGGTGCGGCGGAGATCGAATTAGTAATACACACTCGGTGACCCTCCCCAGCCAGGTTTCACTGCGTGCTTATGACCAACATTCATCCCTTCCTTAGCATCTGTGGTGTCTTTAAGGGCCAAGTAAAAAGGTAAAACTGCAGGGAGTCAGGAGGGGGAAACTGGCCTGGGGTACAGAGTCCCTCACAATGAAAATATATGTAACTGGCTACTTGTAGGTCATGATGCATTAAGTGATCCTGTCAAAAGTTGAAAGTGGGCTACAGTGGGACAGGCAATGCCCAGAGGGAGGCAGAAAGGTGTAAATAATCCGAGGTGAATGTGGGTCTTGTTGGCATGGTAGATTTATGCCCTGCCTTCATAATGTACCCTTTCATCTTGGGAGCCTGGATTCCAAAAATCTAGTCTAGACAGGAATTGATGGTGCTACCTCTCAGCTTACATCGTTCAAGGTTTCTCAACACCAAAGACTCCTGAATATTGATGGGAACAACCCACTTAGCCAGGGGATATTGCTCAGAACTCAGGAGGCCAAAGGCATCATTCTTCCAGGCACGGAGGCCCTGCTCAGAAACAGCCCTACAGAGGCAGAGTCACTCATTCTGGGGGATGACGCTGCCTTTTGTCTTCATCTCCCCAAGTGGGAGACAAGTCCCATCACGCCTGCCACCTGGCAGTCAGCCTTGCGCCTTCTCTTTCGTCCTTTTCATGTGTGCTCCGTGCCGGTTTCAGCAGCTTTCATCAGAGACTGAAACTACCACCACTCCCATCACCTCCCAGGGCCATGGGCAGGCCCTGGCTGACAGATCCAGGCCTAGGAGCCTGGGCAACGATAAATAGGTGGTTGGGAGGACCTCTCCGAGCCCCCTTCTCTGCCCAGGCAGGCTTTCTCCTTGGGTGGCCAGAGCCAGGGCCCAGGATCCCCTGCTGCAAGAACTGAGAGGCTGAGGGGCTTCACTCCTGAGGAAGGTCCTCTCTTCCTAATCCCCGTGCTTTGGGCCCAGCAAATTCAGCCTGGGAACTGGGGGCTGCTGTGGAAGAGAGATGGAGCTAGGGAGCATTTATAGTGCAGCACCTGAGGCTGAGCAGTGACAGAGCTGCGGGCCTGAGAATTACAAAACAGACTTAAACAGATGAAATATTGCCCAGGCATGGTGGCTCTTGCCTGTAATCCTAGCACTTTGGGAGGCCGAGGCAGGCGGATCACTTGAGGTCAGGAGTTTGAGACCAGCCTGGCCAACATGGTGAAACCCCATCTCTACTAAATATTAGCTGGGTGTGGTGGTGGGCACCTGTAATCCCAGCTACTTGGGAGGCTGAGGCAGGAGAATTGCTTGAACCCGGGTGGCAGAGGTTGCAGTGATCTGAGATCGTGCCACTGCACTCCAGCCTGGGTGACAGAGCCAGACTCTGTCTAAAAAAAAAAAAACAAAACAAAACAACAACAACAACAAAAACCCATGAAATATTAACTGATGCAGGGAAAACAGACAAAAACTATACATGCTCAAAACAAAACGAAAAAGGGCACAGGGCTCAGAAACCAGTTTGTCGTCTTTGTGAACAGCTGGGAACTCTGACTCATGCACTGTCCCCTGTTCTCTATGCCACAGGAATGAGGCAGCAAGAGGCCAGATTCTGCCGGAGACAGAGCAGAGAGCCAAACCATCGCCACTTATTGGTGCATGAACCTGGGCAAGGCAGGGGTATCCCTGAGCCTCAGCTTCCTTGTTTGCAAAATGGTGACATGCCTACTTCCAGAGCTGTTGTTAAGGTTAAATGATGACGCAGTTTACCATATGCCAGGCACATAGTAGGCACTAAATAGTTGCAATTATTAGCCCTGAGCAAACATTGCTCAGCCATTCCCTTGTAAAGCCTATTCTCAAACCAACTTTCCATGTGGACGTTCAATCATCTTTCTGGATGACCTCGCCTTACCCATTGCCTCAGATTCTGTGTGTGTGTGTGTATAGAAGAAACAAAGAAAAAAAGTGCTTTTCACATAGTGAGGACATTTCCCCATCCTATGAGTCTGTGTATGTGTGTGCATATGTATATGTATGTACACACACACACACACACACACACACACACACACACACACTGCCCCGTGGAATAGGCAGGACGGGGTTGCATTTCCCCTCTTTTAAAGGTGAGGATGCTGAGCCTCAGAAAGATCAAGTGACCTGAACAAAGTCACACAGCCAATGTGTTTCTCCAAAAGAAATGACCAGGAGTCAGTGTTTCTTTATACAAGGGTGTCCAATCTTTTGGCTTCTCGGCCACACTGGAAGAAGAAGAATTGTCTTGGGCCACACATAAAGTACACTAGCACTAATGATAGCTGATGAGCTAAAAAAATAAAAATAAAAATCACACACAAAAAACAGTGTTTTAAGAAAGTTTACAAATTTGTATTGGGCTACATTCAAAGCCGTCCTGGGCCATGGGTTGGACAAGCTTGCTCCACCATAAACACGTGATGAACAGACATTGAAATCGTACCTTTAGGGCTGTTTTAGGAACACAAGAGGCATCATCTGGCTATCTTGAGAAAGCAGATTTCAATTTTCTATTCATTAAAGAAATGTGCTTCCATCTACCTTGAAATCATTTTGATGATTTCCAGATTCAAGTCCCTGAATAAATTCCAGGGAAAGTCACGTCACGGGACAGAATGGCCGTCACCTTGAAAAAAAATTATTTTCTCCTGGAGGCACTACTGAGGCTCAGCGATCCCACGTCTGCCACTCCCTCCTACTGCATGTGGTATCCCTGAGTCTCCGCTCAGGGAAAACAGACAAAACTACACATGCTCAAAACAGAACAAAAATGGGAACAGGGCTCAGAAACCAGTTTGTCTGGTTCCAGTCATTTCCACCGCAATGACAGATCCAGTGACCTTGGCAGCCCTCATCCATTCACCACATCTTCCCATTACCACCTAACGTGCCCCTCCCAATAGCTCCGTGTGGTAGAGGCTGCACACAGGCTCAGGATTCCCACTTCACAGGTGATAATGTCAAGGTGCAGTGACATGCAGCTTCTTGTCCCAGGTCAGGTGTCTCATGATTGTTGAGCCACTGTCTTCTGACTCAGCCAGTGATCTTTCCTTTGGACCACAACCCCTCTGAAAAGCACTGTGCTGAGAAACATGGGTTTACTTTACCTATTGCTATTTTGTACGTTTGAAACGATCTTTCCAAAACAGATTTAATAATTGAAAGTTTTGCTCTCTGTTCCTTGGAGAAAAGGGACATGCTTTGAGGAAGGAATTGGAACCCGAACAGTCATGTTTTATAGGCATTCATGTTTATTTCTCTGATATTATGGCTTCCTCTGGAAAAATCCAACCAACACATCCGTTTCAAGTCTTGAGAAACTCCCAAATGTTGACCATGTGTCTGATTCCTGTGTGGTCAAAAGAGTGATGTTTCTTAATGTCCACAACTTATTTCCATGTTAAAATAATTCCACGCTCAGCTAAATCCCACTTACACACAAGTGTGCACCTGTTAAAATAGGTCATTTTTCACTGCTAATCTTCCAGATTCCATGAGTATGTGTGGGAACCCCAGACAAATGCAACTTGAATGTCACAAAAGGCATTTTTCTTTGCTGAGTGACCCTGGTTGGCCCAGACACCCTGGGTGCCTTGCTCCCACAGATTTGTAAAACTAAGGAAGATCCCTTTCTGCTGAGAGAATGGATTGGAATTAAATCTTAGCATAGAAGGCCTTGGGTGAAACTGTATGGAATTTTGTCTTACAACTGGGTTATTTTTTAATTAGATTTTTGTCGATCTTTTTTCAACTCTGAAGTATGTCAGTATGGAAACTCAGTAACTTTTCTCAATGCTCCCCATAAAGCTAAAAATTAAAAAGAAGAGAAGAGAAATAAAAAGGGAAAAAATTAAAATTTCAGAGCAAGAAGCTCTAGCCTCTGAGATTTTGTTACTGTTGCAAAAGTAATAGGTCATCTTTGCCACAACCTCAATGCTAAAAAGTAGATGCACAAAAAAGCAATTTTTATCCCAAAGTCTTCTTGGCGATGAGATTTTTTTTCCTGCTTCAGATTTGGCATGCTTCCAGAAACCCAAGGGCCCTAAATCAATATCAAGTGACCGCTTCCAACTCGTAAGAGCCTCTAGGGCTCATTGCAAATGTGGGCTCTGGGTTCCAGAGAGACAGGCTTAAAGAAATTGATGGCAAAAATGGGAAGCTCTGTGGCTGACCTCAGTTGCAGGATCCGTGCTGGGACAGCCTGTCCTCCGCTCCATGATTTGTGAGGGCCTGCCTGGTATTGCTAATCTTCCTGACAGTTTAGTTTGAAGAGAAAAGGGGCCAGTGGCACTGTAGGCAACATCAGACAAGCCACAGATCTCCTGGGAGATCTAAGCTCTCCAGGAGGCAGATAACAACATTTTGCCTTTCCACGGGGTTGTTAATATACATATGAATCCCAAATACAAGAATGGGCTCTTCAAACTGGTTTATTTAAACACTTTTTCTGAGACACACGTTTCAAGAAGGGGATAAAGAGGGTGTGATGTGGATCCTGTGCTGTCTTCAAAGAAGGGAAGGTGGACTGCTATGTTTCTAGTGTAGAATCTGGCACAGAAACCACCCATAGCAGGTGCGCCACGGACCTGCTTTAGCTGGAAGGATCCTTTCTACATTCCTTCCACCACCTAGTGAGTGGCCACGTTGATGATGAGACCTGGGCCTTTAAAAATCCTCTTTCAGGTCTCCAGCCAACCCTCTCCATTCAACTCAGTTTCACAAACCTTTTCTTAGCAGCCACCCATTCCCAAGGACTGTAGTGGGTGCCGCAGGGGAGACAGAGGTGAAGGAGACACAGTCCTTTCTGCTGATTCTGCGGCTGAGTCAGCTGATAGCCTACGTCTATTTGCCAAGAATATGATCAACTGAGTGAAAACAACAAAATAAAAAACGCTGAGTTGGGGAGATGACTCGACTCGGGAGGATAATGAGAATGTCCAAGCTGTGAGTCCCCTGGAGGCCAAGGCAAGTTTGCAGCTGGCATGGTAACAGCAGGGTGGTTGCTGAGGGAAACTGAAACCATGTCACATGGAAAAGATTTGTAGGAGTGGAGGGCCTTTGGCCTGGAGAAGAAAAGCCTTGGAGAACAGAAAGGCTGGTTTCACATACCTGAGAGACTGCCATGGGGAAGACCCATACTTTGTTCTCTGGGGCCCCAGAGGGGGCCCACCATAGAACAGGACTATGGTGGGGATACGTAGGGGGACCGATTGCAGCTCGAAATTGCGAAGTCCTGTCCTTGTCAGAGCTGTCCCAGGTGGAGTGGGATGTACCAGGAGGTGGTGAGTTCCTGTCATTGCAGGGATTTCAGTCGGGGTGGAGAGCCCACTAAACAAAGACGCTGTGGAGAAGAACCAAGCATGGAGGAGGGTGGAGGGCCTGATCTTCTAAGCTTCACTCTCTGCCTGGGAGTCTTCGATTCCTCCCTCCTCTTACTATAACTTAATGAGCTGCTAACGCCAACACCTGGCTTCTTATTCAAACATGCTTAAATGTGAACGGGGAAGACTGGCATCAGAGGTGGGCAGATTAACAACAAACTCCCTCAGGGGTCTCCAAAATGAGAGAGAAGGGACAAAGGCAGAATCGTTCTGCGTGCCTGCAAGTTGGATTTGGAGTCTCCACACTGTGCCTCTGGCCGTTGAACAGAAGAGGGGTCTCTTTGCTGTGTCTTTAGCAAGGTGACAAGCAAGAGAGCTGGGTAGCACAGCCTGGGGCTCACAGGCAGCAGATCACCTTCAGCTCCCCAGGCCCCTCTGTCATGGACTCAGGCCACTGCTGGGACTCAGTCACCAGGACAGGGAGAGCCCAGAGGGCACTGCTCCACAGGGTGGGCACAGCAAACAGCCCTTCCCCACACTCCCACTCTTCCCGGCAGAGAGGGTGCCTGCGGTGTGACTCGAGGGAACTCGGCCTATTCATCTCACCCGCTTCTGCCTATCTCTCCACACACACTTTTGTCATTGTTAAAACCATGAGCAGCTTTTTCCTGATATCACAGTCTAGGAAATCGATGCCTCGTTCAGTGAGCCAGCACTTGCTGTGCTCTTGCCACAGGTTGGGACTGTGTGGATGGATGCCCCATTGCTTAGGGAGCACAGAGGAGGGACCTAGCTCGGGCTGGGGCTTTACAGAAGGCTTCCGAGAAGGGATGTCATTGGCCTGACTCTTAAGAGGAAGGAAAAGAAGAGCACCAAGTACAAATGATTAGCACTACTCATCAGCAAATCAGGAGACTGGGCGTGTAGGGAGATGAGGCTGAGGAAGTCACTCTGAACACACACGAGGGGCCTGATTGTCACCTGAAATGCCTGATGTTTTCCTGTTGGTTATGGGAAACAGAGGGATGACATAGATTGATTTATAGAGATTTTTCTGCCTGCATCAAAGGCATCATAAACAAGAGGGTAGGACTAGTGGCAAAGAAACGAGTCAGAATTGTTTAGTCGAGACATGAGAAGACCCTGAGCTAGCTCAGTGGTAGCAGGGTGGAAAGGAAGGGACCAAAAGGAGAAATATTTTGGATTTAAAAATTAACAAGACTGTCCAACAAATAGAAGATACAGAGACAAATGATTCAATAAGGCAAGGGTCAAAAGACTTGAACAGGCACTTCACAAAAGAAGATAATGCCCAATTAAGCACATGAAAGAGTGTTCAACATTAAATATCAGGGAAATGCGAGTTAAAACTACAGTAAGACAGCAGTTCATACCCCTTAGAATGGCTAAAATCAAAACAAATGATCATACCAAGTGCTGGTGGGAATGTGAGGAACCTGGAACTCTCATGCACTGCTGGTGGGAGAGGCCAATGGCAGAAACTCTTTGAAGGACTCTGAGAGTGTCTTATAAGTGTACATCTACCCTATAAGCAAGCAATTCCACTGCTAGGTATTTGCCCAAGAAAACTATGTTTATACAGACTTGTATAAGAAAAATATGTTCCCAATAAAATTGTAAAGAATGTTTATGGCAGTCTTATTCAAATATTGAAGAACTGGCAGCAACCCAGATGTCCACCAGGAAGTACATGGATAAACAACCTATGGTATGTCCATATAATGGAATATCACTAAGCAATAGAAAGGAACAAACTATTTATATATTCAGTGTAACATGGATGACTGGCAAAACCATTATGGGAAGTGAAGGAAACCAGACCCAGAATAGTACACACTGTATGATTCCATTTACATGAAATCCAAATGTAGACAAACGAATATATAATGTTAGACACCAGTTTGTGGGTTTATGTAAGTGTTTTGGGGTGTTAGGTGGGGGGTTGTTGACCAGTTAGAGGCATGAGGGAACTTCCTCAAAGAATAGAAATGTCTTATATTTTATTTTGAGGATTATGACATGAATGTGTATGATTGTCAAAATTAATCATACTAAACATTAAAACCTGAGCATTTTTTTCTATGTAAACTTTATTTTAAAACAAAAATAAAATAAAAACCAGGTCTGGGTCTGGCATGGTGGCTCACACCTGTAATCCCAGCACTTTGGGAAGCGGAGGTGGGCAGATCACAAAGTCAGGAGTTTGAGACCAGCCTGGCCAACATGGTGAAAACCCGCCTCTACTGAAAATACAGAAATTAGCTGGACACGGTGGCAGTGCATGCCTGTAATCCCAGCTACTCAGGATACTGAGGCACGAGAATCGCTTGAACCTAGGAGGCGGAGGTTGCAGTGAGCCGAGATCGCGCCACTGCACTCCAGCCTGGCGACAGAGTGAGACTCCGTCTCAAAAAAAACAAAACAAAACAAAACCCAGGTCTGGTGATTGATATATATTTGACCCTCACATTTCTAGCTTGAATGTTTGTGTGGATGGTGGTGACACTAAGACAGATGAAGGATGTGAGAGGAAGAGAAGGTAAAGGAGGAGAAAGATGAGTCAAATGTTGTATCAATGGAGTATGTGGTGTCCATTATCACAGGCACCAGCTAATGATATCCTGAAGGAAAAAAAAAAAAAACACTAACAAAAACAAAACCACCTGAATCAATGAGTCTGAAGCTCAGAGAAGAGGTCAGGATAGGAACATACCCCTGACAGTCACTTGATCATTGTGAAAAGCAGGAGTATGAGTGAAATGATGCAGAGAGGAGCTCTGGCATTAGAAAGCAGTGGCCAAAGGCTGGATCCTGAGAGGCAACACTCATTACCGGGTTAGCAGAAGAGAGCGTTCCATGAAAGAGACTGCAACTCATCCCGGAGGCATGAGGAGAACCAGGAAAGGGCAGAACCACAGTCATTCAAAGCCAAGAGTTTTGTGGGGGTTTTTTTTTTTAATTCATTTGTTTTAGTAGGTGTTTCATGTATTAAAAGACTTTTCTAAACCAATTTACTGTGGCATAAATTACATGCCATAAAATTCATTCATTTGAAGCATATGGGTCACTGAGTTTTAGTGAATTTATACAGTCCTGTAACCACTACCACACTCAAGTTTTAAAACATTTTCATTGCCACAAAAATTTCCCTCACACCACTTTGCCGTTGATCCCTGATCCCAAGACCAGCCCCAGACAACCACAGATATGCTTTTATCATTAGAGTTTTGCCATTTTTAGAAATTTCATACAAATGGAATCATGTAGTCCTTTGTGTCTGCCTTCTTTCTTTTAACCTGTTTTTGAGATTTCTTCATGTTGTTGCCTGAATTTGTAACATATTTCTTTCTTCTGGAGCATAGTTTTTCACTGTATGAATAGACCACATTTTGTTTAACCATTCATCAACTGACAGACATTGCCATTGCTTCCATTTAGTGTTATGATGAATAATCCTGCAACGGATATTGACTTACAACTCTTTGGTAGGACACAGATTTTCATTTCTCTTGGGTGAATACCTAGGGGCAGAATTGCTGGGTTGCATGGCAAGCACGTGTTTACTTTTAAAGGAAAATGCCAAACTTTTGCAAAAAGGCTCTACCATTTTACCTTTCCACTAGCAACTTACAAGGATCCCAGTTTCTCTATGCCTTTATCAACACTCCATATTGTTTTGTTTTGTTTTTTAATTTTCCTAGCAGGCATATAATTAGATCTTATTGTGGTTTTAATTTTAATTTGTATTGCCCTAATACCAGTGGTGTTGAACATTTTTTATGTGCTTTTGGACTATTCATATATCTTCTTTGGTGAAACATTTGTTCATATCTTTTGCCAATCTTTTAATTGGGTAGTTTCTCTTGCTATTAAGTTATAAGGGTTCTTTATATATTCTTAATTCAAATCAGATAGTTTGCAAATATTTTCTCCCAATCCGTGACCTTTCATTTCCTGTCACTGAACAAATTTTTAAATTTCGATGAAGCCTAATGACTAAGTTTTTTTCTTTTATAATTTGTATTTTCTGCTTCCTAAGGAATCTGCTTAACCCAAAATTATTAAAAAAAAATTTCTTCACTTTCTCCTAGAAGTTTTATAGTTTTAGTCCTGTAATCCATTTTGAATTAATTTTTGTATATGGTATAAGGAAAGGGTCAAGAGTAATATCTTTTATAACTATTCAGTGATTTCAAGATCACTTATAAAAATAGACTATGTTTTTCCCTATTGAATTACCCTGGTATCTTTATCAAAATTATTTGACCATATAAAAGTAAGGATCTATTTCTAGACTCTCAATTCCACTCTATTGATTCATTGTTATCTAATACCACACTGTTAATTACTGAGTTTTATAGTAAGTCTTATAATCAGGTAGCATAAATTGTTAACTTGATTATTTAAAAAAATTGTTTTGTGTCACAGGACAAATAGATGTTTTTCCAAAGAAGATATACAAATGTCCAATAAGCACATTAAAGATGCTCAAATGTAACTAACCAGTAAAGAAATGCAAATCAGAACCTCACTGAGCTACCACCTCACACCCATTAGGATGGCTACTATCAAAAATAATCATAATAACATGTCAGTGAGGATATAGAGAAACTAGATCCCTTGTATACTGTTGGTGGAAAATTAAATGATGCAGCTACTTTGAAAAATAGTATGGTGTTTCCTCACGTATTAGAAATAGAATTACCATATGACTCAGCAATTCTACTTCTGCATATATACCCAAAAGAATCAAAGGGGCTGGAAGAGATATTTGTATACCCATGTACATAGCAGCATTATTCACAATAGCCAAAGGGTGGAGGCAACTCAAGTGTCCATCTACAAATGAAAAAACAAAATGTGGTATGTATACACATACATACATACATACATACACATACATACATACATACATACATACACACACAGTGGACTATAAAAAGAAGGAAATTTTGACACATACTACAATGTGGTTAAATATCGAGGTCATGTGAAATGAAGTAAGTCCATCACAAAAAGACAAATGTATAATTCCACTTATGTGAGGTAACTAGAGTTGTCATTTCCTTAGAGACAGAAATTAGAATGATGGTTGCCAGGAGTTGAGAGTCGAGGGGAATGGGAAGTTAAAGGATGTTGAATTTAGGCTGGGTGTGGTGGCTTACACCTATAATCCCAGTGCTTTGGGAGGCTGAGGTGGGTAGATCTCTGCAGATCTCTTGAGCCCAGGAGGCAGGCGGATTCCTTGAGCCCAGGAGACCAGCCTGGGCAACATGGCAAAACCCCGTCTCTACAAAAAAGTACAAAAATTAGCTGGGCATGATGGTGCATGCCTGTAGTCCCAGCTACTCAGGAGGCTGAGGTGGGAGGATTGCTTGAGCCCGGGAAGTGAATGTTGCAGTGAGCTGAGATCATGCCACTGCACTCCAGCCTGGGCAATAGAGTAAGACTCTGTCTCAAAAAATAAAATAAAATGAAGTTTATTAAACATAGTTTGGGAAGATGAGAAGTTCTGGAGATTCGCTGCAGGCCAATGATAATATACTTAACATTGCTAAACTGTAAGCTTAAAAATTATTAAGTTGGTAAATTTCGTGTGTATTTTACCACAATTAAAAAAAATTTTTTTAATTGTTCTGTTTAATCTAGGTTATTTGTCTTTTCAAATGAATTTTAGGATCAGCTTGTCAATTCCTACAAAAATGTCTACTGGGATTTTTATTGTGATTTCATTAAATATATAGATTAATTTAAAAATAATTACCATCTTTAATTAAAAACATTGAGACCTCCAAGCAATAACATGGCATATCTCTCTGTTTATTCAGGTATTCTTTAATTTCTCTCAGCAATATGTTGTAGTTTTCAGTGTATAAGTCTAAAATATCTTTTATTAAATTTATTCCTAAATATTTTTATGCTACTGTCAATGGAATTTCTGAAGTTTTATTTTTTGGGTTGTTCTTTGCCGGCATATAGGAATACAATTGATTTCTACATATTAACCTTATATTCTGAGACACTGTCGAATTCATTTATCAGTTCTAGTAGCTTTTTGAAAATTCCTTAGGATTTTCTACATATATGATCACATTGTTCACAAAAAAATGGTTTTATTTCTTCTGTTCCAAGGTGTATGCCTTGTTTTTTGCATGACTTATTAAACCGGCTAGGACCCCCATACCATGTTGAATAGAAGTGGCGAGACAGAATTTTTAAATGAGGTTATTTTACTCTGTGAGGATCCCAGGTGGTCTCTGACAGAGCAGTTCCAATAGAACTGCAGGGCAGAACCAGGCTGCTGCAGATGAATATGCGAGTGGGAACTGAGAGAATTACAGCTGCTGGGTGTTACCACTCATGAAGCTTGACTGAAGAAGGCAGGCAAATGGGTAAAGCACATTCCCTGTTCTCAAGAGGCCCGAGTATAAACAGGGAAGTTCTAGACATGCATTTCTTCAGCTCTGCTGCTGCCTTCCTCAGTCCAGCCACCTTCTCCCACCTGGAACTTCAACAGCCACTTACCTCCCCTTCCGGTTTCTATTCCCCCGTCCCATTTTCCAGTCCATTCTAACGAAAGTCAGAGAATACCTCTTAAAGTAAAAATCAGATTATATTACTCCTGCACTCAAAACTCGGCAACCATGGCCATCCAGGCACTGCGCGGCATGGCCCACCAGTCCCCCGTTCCTCGCTATGCCCCTGGCACACCATCTCGCCTCCTCTTCCTAGCAATTCTTTAGCCAGCTCAGGCTTTTTACAAAGCCTGGCTTCAGGGATTTAGGACAAAAATGTACCTGAGCAGAGATGCAGGTGCAGAGATGTGAATGCAGGTGCAGCCTGTCAACAGATGGGCTCATTTGAAAGAGAAGCCGAGTGAGGCTGGTCCAGGCTCCCCACGGGGATGAGGCTGCAGTACTTACCTGCCCATAGGGCTGTTTAGAGTGTAGATGCATTGCTTGAATGGCTATTTGGTCTCTAGTCTTCAGGTTAATGTGGTTTGTCTCACAGGCTCTCTACAACCTTGCACCTCGACGTGTGGTCTGTGGACCAGGAACATTGTCATCACCTGGAAGCTTCTTGGAAACGTAAAATCCTAGGCCACCTCCCAGACCGATGGAAGCCACATCGGCATTTTAACCAGACACCCTGGTGATTCCATGGTGCATTCTTATCCACATTAAATTTTGACACCCCATAAAAACTCACTCTTCTGAAGCAGAATTCACCTCTCTCTAGTAAAGAACTTTAATTTTTATAATGTGTCAATGAATGAAAATGTAAAACCTAGTAAGAGAAAATGGAAGGACTTGTTCATACAACTGGTAATTAAACAAATGGGAATGAAACTTGGCTAAGGAGAGGGGATGAAGAGGATTAAACTCATAAAAGCAAGTTGGGGGTTCAAATGAGATTTCCGGGAAGGCATCAGTTGAACTCTGCAGTGAATGGCCGACCTGTTTTCATTTGTTTAATAGCTGTTCTCATGGTTACTTCCGTCTCATAGATGCCCCATCCCTACAGTCATGCACATATTCGGTCAGTATGCTCAGCAAAAAACACCCCAGGACCAAAAAGCTTTATGGACATCAGGTTACAAGCTGTATTCTGCCCCTCCCTGCCCCCGAGCCTCTCACCATCTTAGAAAGGCAGGACCTGTGCCATCACTGAAAGCAATGGCATGTTGATATTTCCGTTTTGTTTTTTTTTTTGTTTTTTTTTTTTTTGAGATGGAGTCTCACTCTGTCACCCAGGCTGGAGTGCAGTGGCTCAATCTCGGCTCACTGCAAGCTCCACCTCCCAGGTTCACGCCGTTCTCCTGCCTCAGCCTCCCGAGTAGCTGGGACTACAGGTGCCTGCCACCACGCCCGGCTCATTTTTTGTATTTTTACTACAGACGGGGTTTCACCTTGTTAGCCAGGATGGTCTCGATATCCTTATCTCGTGATCCGCCCACCTTGGCCTCCCAAAGTGCTGGGATTACAGGCATGAGCCACTGCGCTCGGCCGGCATGTGGATATTTCAACCCAACCCAACACTACTGTTGGGCGAAGGCCTCAGGTGTCCAGGGAACAGAAGCCTTTGCAAGCTGGAGGGTGCAGGCCCCACACATTCTGCACCACCATCGGGGGTTCTCTTGTTCAGTGGTTTTACAATCTTGTTTTGTAGCCCAGTTCTGGCAATGCTGCCCAGACCATTCTCCTCTCAGGACTTCTCCTACAGTCCACCCAGAAGCAGAGCCCCACAGGATGATGACAGGTGCTTCTGACTTTGGCTTATGAACTCAGCCAATATTGTCCAAGATAAACTCTGATCTAAACAACAACAACAAAAAAAACTCAAAGTATAAAATGTGTGTCTCTACAAGCAACACCACTGTTAGAATGTCAGGGCTGAGAGACCTCATTTATTGGAACAGGCCTTCACCTGTGATCAATCACCAACAGCAGGCAGAATAGCAACGTGTTAAAGAGCTCACGTTTTGGCACCAGGCTGCCTGACTTTGAATCTTCGCAGCTGTGTGATCTTGGATTAAATGTTAACATATCTTTTCTTGGTTTCCTCATCTATAAAATAGAAATAATCATAATGCTTGCTTCATAAGGTTATTCTGAGGGTTAAATAGAACCATTAATCTACCCTGCTTAGGAGAATGCCTGGCACCCAGGACCCGCTCAGTAAATGTAGCTATTGGAATCATCGAATCCGCTGCTAGCATGGACTCTCAATGAGGGGAAGCACGAGGGGCTCGTGGGAGCTACAGCCTGGAGGAAGCTGGGGGTCAGGGAAGGCTTCAGGGGTAACTTGAAGTCTAGGAAGAACAGGCAACCTCCTGGGCTCCACATTCTACCTCTTATTTGTTCTGCTTATTATTCTTATTTGTTCTGCTGGAGTCCACGCTCGCATGTGGACACACACACATGCAACACGTCAGCAGATTTGCAGCTGTCAGGGACAGAACATGGGAACAACTGCCAGCAGCTGAGATCCCAGCCCCAGCGCGCTCACTCTGGCTGCTCCAGCTGTGAGGGCGGAGGAAGACTGGAGCCAAAAGTCAGCCTCCCCCACCCCTGAGAAAATCTCCCCAGATTAGGCAGCTGCCTGCTCTCCCTCCTCCTCCCCCTAGGCTCTCAGCTGGAGGATGGGAAGATGGATAGGGAGGCGAGGAGCCTGAGGCCAGGAAATTGGGTCTCTTTATTCCCATCTTCCTGGAGAGTGAGCAGGAGACCCCCGCCCCAGGATCCCAGAGTCTAGCCTTGCCTACAGCTGTTCTGCTTTTGCAGCCAGGCATCTGTCCGGCTCCATTGTCCCTGGATGTGGGTGAGGAGTGGGAGGAGTCAAGAGCTGCCGTCCAACTCTAACAGTGCTTCTCAGCCGCGGCTGCACTTCGGAGTCACTGGGGAGCTTTGGCTTGGGCCACGCCTCAGAAGAACTGAAGCAGAATCTCTGGGGGTAGGGCCTGGGCTCTGGTATTTTTTGGTAAAACTTCCTGGGTCATTGTACTGAGTACCTAGGGTTGAGAAAGATGGACAGATAAGGAAAACTAGCTTGCAGGAGTCATAAACCACAGACCTTCAGATCCGAATGGAACTTTGGAAACTGTCGGCCCAACACCCTTTTCTTTTCTTTTCGTTTCTTTTCTTTTCTTTTTTCTTTTTTTTTTTTTTTTTTTTTTCTGAGACAGAGTTTGCTCTTGTTGCCCAGGCTGGAGTGCAATGGCACTATCTCGGCTCACCACACCTCTGCCTCCTGGGTTCAAGCGATTCTCCTGCCTCAGCCTCCCAAGTAGCTGGGATTACAGGCATGCACCACCACGCCCAGCTAATTTTGTATTTTTAGTAGAGATGGAGTTTCTCCATCTTGGTCAGGCTGGTCTCGAACTCCAGACCTCAGGTGATCCACCCGCCTCGGTCTCCCAAAGATTACAGGCGTGAGCCACACAGCCCGGCCACCAACACCCTTATTTTCTAGACGGGAAAATATAAGGCCTGGGGAGGAAACATGATAAGCCTAAGCTGAGTGAGCTGTGGCAGAGCAGAGAGAGAACCCACGCGTCCTGATTCCAAGTCCAGTGTTATTTTCATGATGTGTATCACGACACATTTTAGAACTGCCCCTTGAACACTTATGCCTTGAAGGATAGTGCTTTAATAGTTGCTACCAAGAGTACAAAAATGACATGGCACCTGACATCAAAGAGCTGGACAGAGCAGCAGACATGAGCCACTGAATGTCATCACCTGGCCTTGGGCAGACAAGGGATTGCTAGATGAAGGCCCACGCTTGCCACCTCATTCTCCCCACCTACCCAGCTGTGGAACTTAACACTTACGGCTGCTACCAGTACAGCAATCTCACGCCTAGGCCTGTGCTAGAGGAGTCCAGCACTTTCTAGGACCATGCCCATGCCCATGGGCAAGGAGCCCAACAAGTCAAGGGCATACGGCTACCAGGAGCCTGCATTCCTCAGTCTAGTCCTTACCCTGAGCATCTGGAATTCCCTGTCAAAACACCACTAGCCAGGTCTGGGGCCTACATGGGTCTTTCCTCAGATTTGTTCTCCCAAGTATGGATTGTACAGCCAGCGTGTGTACCCCTAGGCCCAGGATATGCTGCCAGTGCGTGCACCTCAAAGCCTAGGGACCACCAAGGGATATATAACCAGCATGTGCACCCACCCCTAAGCCCGGGGGCCACCGAGGGATACACAGCCAGTGTGTGCACCCCTAGGTCCAGGGGCAACACAGGATATTTGCATTCAAGGGATTTGGAAGAGGACCTGGGCTTCTGAGCTGGGTGCCCTGCTGTGTCCAGATGGGGATGCATAATGGTCCTTGTGGGCAAGGACATTGCTGGGGAAGGGAAGGGAAGGGGGTTGGGCATGGGCTAGGGGTAAGCTCCCCTTTTGAGAATTCTAAATTAGAACATGGGCTTCATGTTATTATAAAGATCTATTTGTCTTGGCTGAAGGATAAAATATATTTTAGTTAATAGTTTTAGGCTTATTTTATAACTTTTAAATAATAGATTGATTAATTTGCATTCTTGCCCCAGGCTCTGCAAATGTTAGGGCAGGCCTCTAGCCCACACTTTATCTTTGTGTGTATTAGAAAACAGTGCCCCTTTTGCTGTCTGGGTAACCCCATCCAAGCATATAGCTTAGGACGTGGAGGGTGGTTGGGATTCCATCCCCATTTGGCCCCGTGGCCAGGTGTCCTTGTGCTGTGTAAACCCTGCACACCCTTACCTGGCTGTTGTGGAAGAAAATCAATCCACACTCTATTAGCATAAGGAACAATTCCCGGGACAAGGGCATGGGAGAGCCACAGTGGGACATTCTCAGTCCTTTAGGATCTCACACTACCCTGGCCTGCAGCCTCTCTCTACCTCTCCTGAATTAATAGCACCTTGTCTTCATCTCAATCAGTGATCCAAACACATGAAGAACCAAAGTACCCAGGGCCCCTTTCCCTGAAGCAAATCAGCTGGTCCACATACATGTCTGAAGTCCACGGGCTCGCCAGTCTGTGTGGGCTCTGCTGGCTCCACTGCATGCACAGAGCCTCCAACTCACAGAGCTACACTCACCATACCCCGCTAACACAGTGGAGAGAAGTTCCTGTCAAGTGGAGGGACTGGAGGAAACTTCATTTGGTGAGGACTTCTGTGGGGGGCTAAAGACTAAGCAGGCAGAGGTCATGGAAGTCCACCCATGAGCCAAGTCTAGGCGGTGGGGAACATGGGCGCAGCTGAGAAGAACGTGCCAAGGTCAAGTGAGCTGTGTGTGAAGAAGAGCAGTGGGTGAGGTGGGTTCTGAGTGTCAAGGGTAGGAAGGGGCAGGCAGGAGCAGGTCATAGCGGTCCTGAATGCTAAGACAAGCAGTTCAGAGGCCACCTGGTCTTCACGCTGACAATCTCAGCTGCACTCTCTGAGGAGACCTACAGGGCAAATCTTTCCGTGCGGTTGGTAATTTTTGACACTAGAAAAGTGTGAGTTCAAGAATGTGAGTTACACTCTCACCCAGTCAAGATGCTGGTCTTTCTCCTCAACGTGGGACTTGTTCTGAGTGAAGCCAGTACAGTGCCCGGAAGAAAGCATTGATCTTGAATCTGCTCAAGCAGGTGGCTAATTGTGTGATTGAGAACTCTGAATTTTGCCCCGTAGAGTCCCTATGCAGCAGGGCTGTGATATGCTCATCTGTGTATCATTATTCATTCATTTGTTCATTCTTCATACATCAGCCTCCAACTGAGGTTTTCCTTCAAGCCAGGTCACCACGAGAGCCAAGGACAAATCGAAGCAGCAGCAGACTGGGTCCCTCATGCCTTTCTTTATTCTCTTAGAGCCTCCATCGTAGTAAATTGCCTCTGAGAGAAGGATGAAAGACATAAATATATGCTTCTTATCTCTCAGGCAGGTGCAGTTTTGTTTTCTCTTCTGGACAGGGTATGTTGCTTAGGAAGTCTTGCAGGTAAGTGGCTGGAATGTCTCTAAAAGCCTGAGGCTAGAAATGTGAGGGCCGGTGGCCTGGAATGCAGCCTTCTATTGCTGGGACAAAAACACCTGTGAACTTTTCTTTGCGTGCTTGTATTTAGCTTTGCAGTGCAGCTGTGCATAGCCCTTTATTCCTCTATAGACTCTGTTTCTTGAAGCAAAAGACCCCAGTCCCCTATTGCCTCTCCCTCAGCTCCGCCTGTGTCTAGCGTCCGGCTAGGTGCAAAGTAGGTGATAAGTTAATGAATGTTTAACTGAATAACCCTTTCCTGCTCTGGGGTAATACCCAATACAAAGTCCTCTCTGCCCTCACGCCTCTACCCTCCAAACACACATTGACACCCTCACCCCAGACTGCAGGTGGCACTAGAAGAGCTGGGAGGGTCTGAGGTAGTGGGGGTGAGGGGCTGGGGCCTTGATTTAAACACAGACATCTTCCTGCTAGATTTCACACTGGAAAACAAATCCCAGCTTTTGTTCAAACCCTGGTTCATTGGAAGTAGTGCCCCACCCCTGGGAGGCTAAGGAGTAGGCAAACAGGATTCATGCTTATCCAAAAGGCTGATCCACACTTGAGACCTGTCCTCATCAGAGCACTGCAGTCTCACCAGTTAACAAGAGTCCCCATGAAAATTTCCTGCAGCAAACGTGACAGACGTGCTGTTTTGCAAATTGTGGCCTGCATTTGCCTAATCCCCTAGCCTGGGCAGATGCATATGAAAGGACTCCCCAAGGCTGCAGGAAGAAACAAGGGAGGCCTCCCTTCCCCCAGCACAGTCAGAGGACCCCAAGCTGGCCATGGCCCATTCCCGCCCACTGGTAGCTTCCCCTTGGTTTGGAAAACTGGAAGGTGATTGAAGAATAATGTTTCTATAGAGGTCACTAAATTGTACTGGCCACAACCTGTGCCAGGTCCTATATTCTTTCATTTCATTCTCACAATCACTTCCCAGGGGTGCTGGTGCTATTCCTGTTTTGCAGATGAAGAGACCAAGAGAGGCTAAGTTGGGGTTAAGTAACTCTCCAAAGTCCTCTATTGGGTAGGTAACAGAGTCAGGACTCCAGTCAGATCATGCGGAGCATCCAATTCGTGGTCTCTCCACTACAATGCACTCAAGCCCAGGTAGAATGCAAGAGGCAATTTGGTCTCCTCTCCAAAGCTCCACCCCCACATGATGCTCCAGGCTTCTCTCTTCCCCTGTCCCGTTCCTCTGGCATCAGCATTACAATGTCTCTGCATTCTCTGCAAAGTGAGTTATTATTTTAGAGAAAATGTGGATATGGCTCAGTTGACTTTGTTACAGGAATAGACACCCCCAGTGCCAAGAGGTCCCTTAATGCCCTGCTTGTGGGGAAATGAACATAAGCCGCCACTCTGAAGCTGTCAGGCCGCAGTGAGTAATGATCCCAAGGCTTGGCTATCTTCATGACATTTGATAGTCATTTTGCCATTCTTGTTCTCATTTAGTGAGCCTTGAAGTGTAGTAGGTGTGGTTATGACTCTTTAAATCAGGAGTTTCTTACACTATCTTTGGGATGTAACATCCTAAACTTGGAGATGGTATTTCAGATCCTGCAATTAAGACAGAAAATTAAAACTCAGCAAATAGAAGCCATTTGTCCAAAGGCATGACCAGAACTATGACTGCAAGCTCCTGAAGGCAATGCTTCTTCCACAGACTCATGAGGCTGGCGGATGAGAACACATGAGATCATGGCCTCACGGTGGTCCTGTGTCCCAGGTATCAACATCTCCATCATAGGTGAATAAACCGGGGCTAGGGAGCTGTGGTGAGTGGCAAATCAAAGTGATTAGGCTCCCACTGGTTACTCTGCCCAATAAATGTGCCTTCTCTCCATTTATACTGCCTATTTTGGAGTTTCGGTCCTGCATTGACTCACAAGGCAAATGAACATCTACATACTCAAGAAAGGACCAAAAAACCAGTAGTTCTCAGTCTCTGTTTCTGACCTCAAGTACCAACAGGGAAAATATATCCATGAGATCTACAGCCTGCTGGGGACCTAAGCTCCATAGCCATGGAATAGCCATGTAGACCTCTGTCTTCCTGCACTCAATCTCCTTAATCATAACATGGGCAGGAGTGAGCCCCTCAGCCCTTCCCTCAACCTACTCCTGCTGGAAACAGTGACCTTCCACACAAAAGGGCCAACCAGAAACCATGGGGTCTTAGACATACACAGTCCCTGCCCACAGTCATTTCCCCTCCCCTGTATTCCTTCTGTTTCTCCCTTGGGGTGCACTTTCATATTGTGCTGGAATGATTGCAATAACCTTCTGATGAGCCTTGTAACCCTCACTTTAGCACCATCATTATCCTCACACCACACTCCCACCCTCACCAAATCCACCCTCTACGTTGCTCCAAGAACAGGTTTGAGAACACATATTTGTTTCTGTCACTGCTTTGCCTCTTTTAAATCCTTCAGTGACTTTCCACTGCCTTCGGAATGCATTTTCGATCCTGTGGCAATGGTTATGCTGTTACAATTATCTGTTTTCTGTCTTCCACATTGAGAGGTGAGCTCCTTGAGGCAGGCACTGTTGACACAGAGAAGGTATTCTGTAAACGACTTAAATGAATCGATGAGTAGTAAATAAACACTAAATGAATACATGAATGGATGGAGAGTCCATCACTAGGCAGGAAGCCCCATTTTCCTCTGTAGAGGCAAATCAGGTGCCCTGGAGATCAGACTCAAAGAAAGAAATATGAGACTGGAGGGATGCAGGAGTGTTTTATGACCTTGAAGGTAGATTTAGGATTTAGACAGGTAGAGAGGGAAGCACGGAGATGAGGGGAGAAAAAGAGGAGAGGGAATCCCAAGAAAAGAAAAAGAGGCAGTACAAGTGCAGCATGCAGTGAAGGAATTCATGTCAGTGAGGTGAGGCCTAGGAATGGAAATAGAAGGGCAGGTGGGCAGCAAGCTCTGGTGGGGGCCTTGGAACTAGACTGAAGAACGTGAGCTTCCATCTATCCCAGCATTAGGGCTCATGCTGGCCAATGGTGGAGAGAGGAATAGCTGAAGAAAAGTGGTGACAGAACCGACTCCCACAAATGTGAGACTGTTGGTGTTTCATTTGGCTCTCGTTGACTTGAATTTAAAGGCATCTAAATATCCTTTTCCCCCTTATTTTTTTAAGACACTAATTGAACACTTGGGCCCTATAAATAAGTGGTGAAGAATGAACCGGTTTTTGTTTTAATGAAAGGTTAAAGCACATTTAACCTTTGTTTTTTGTTTTTTGGGGGTTTTTTTGAGACGGAGTCTCACTCTGTCGCCCAGGCTGGAGTACAGTGGCACGATCTCTGCTCACTGCAACCTCCGCCTCCTGGGTTCAAGCAATTCTCCTGCCTCAGCCTCCTGAGCAGCTGGGATACAGGCATGTGCCACCACCCCTGGCTAATTTTTTGTATTTTTAGTAGAGGCAGGGTTTCACCATGTTGGTCAGGCTGGTCTTGAACTCCTGAGCTCAGGCAGTTCACCCGCCTTGGCCTCCCAAAGTGCTGGGATTACAGGCGTGAGCCACTGCGCCCGGCCACATTTAACCTTTTATTGAATGTGCAGTCAACATTCAAGTCCATTTTTATCTCTGTAGTATTCCTGAGCTGTGATCTCCAGGAACGGTGATGCATTGATGTCCTAGCCCTGAACAGCAAACACTGTCTCCTCTCTGTCCTGTCCCTGAGAATGGAGTCAGTACCTCTTTGAATAATTAACACTCTTTTACGTAGACAGAGTCAGGGAAAGGGGTTAGGTGAAGTTCTTATGTAGTTTGTTCTGCTGTCAAATGTCAGTTAAGCCTTCACTCTCTTCTTTCTTGGAAGAGACAGGCAGAGGTAATGTGGATGAAGCGAAGAGCCCCTGTCTGGGATTGGGGAACTAGGCTCTATCCCTCTCTCTCTTGCCAGTTTTCTGCATGGTCTTAGGCAAGTCTCTCATCCCAGGCTTCAGTTTCCCCATCTGTGAGAAGGGATTGGATTAAACCTTCTTTTGAGAAGAGTTTTATGCTCTGAAATGCCACTGACGTCTGTGCCGTGTCTCCTCTGACCTCTGCTCTGTATACTTGTTGGTGAGAACACTGGAGGGGCAGGATCCCCAGGTGGAGAAAAGGAAGGGCTTCTTTTAAGGAGACATAACTAGGAAGAAAACCTCTAGCCAGGGGAGAAAGAAGGCCAAAGAGCTCTGTCCTTTGCACAGGCCTGACATTTTTATGGGCCTTCGCTGGCCTTGGACCATGAGCTGCCCACACACACACAGGGGAACCCCCCAGCAGCCACTGAATGTGGCATTGTGGCACTGGACCCCACCAGCCAACAGCCCTTGCTTGCAGCCTCCCTTAGAGCAGACTGGGGAGCCACCAGCCCAGCCTGTCAGCTCACATCAGGCTTGGCCTGACAGGGTCCAGCACAAAGACCTCCCACAGAGATGGGAAGGAGAGGAAATTAGGTTGGAAATTCACTGACAGCCCACGCTTGACCCCATGGAAAGTGTTGGTTTGGGCTAGAAGAAATGGCACAATTTAGCTTGACCAGACTGGCCCATTCAAACAGACTCCAATGCCACAGAGCATTGAGTTAAGCCTCCTACCAAATTCTGACTCTTAAGCAGTTGGATATCCACTGTGTAGCAGGCATAGAGAATGCAGAGGTAAAATCTGTGACTACTGTTTTCACAAAGCTTGCAGTCTACTGAAAAGAGAAGGCACGTCAACAATTTGTCATAATCTATCTTGCTAAATGTCATACTCAAGATACACAGAGGGGTTTAGGGGGAACTGAAAATCCAGCAAGTGATTCTGAGAAGCAATGAGAGGGAGGAAAATCTTCCTAGAAAATGGGAAATATCTCCTGAGTTTTAAAGGATAACATCCCAACTAGTTTCCCAGTGGAAGAGAAGGGGCTGAAAGGAGCATGCCTGGGAAAAGGCCCAGCATGTTTGCAGGTATGGAGAGGTGAGAATATGGCAAGACTGAATCACTGCACAGAGCTCTCAGAGGCCGGGGAATAGTGTGCAAGGGTGGAAGGGCAGCAGGAGCACCTGGAAGTTTTGTAGGTTGAACTGTGTCCCTCAAAACAATATGTCAACGTTCTAACCCCCAGGACTTGTGCATGTGACTCATTTGGAAATAGGGTCTGTGTAAATGTAATCAAGTAAAGATGAGGTCATACTAAATTGAGGGGAGGCCCTAATCCAATGACTGGTGTCCTTATAAAAAGAGGAAGATTTGGACGCAGAGACACACAGTGGGGAAGCGTCATGTGAAGACAGAGGTGGAGACCGGAGTGATGCTTGTAAAAGCCAAGAAACGCGCAGGATTGCCAGCAGCCGCCAGAAGCTAGGAGAGAGGCAAGGCACAGATTCTCCCTCCGAGTCCCCAGTAAAGAACTATCCCTGCCAATACTTTGGTATCAGACTTCTGGCCTCTAGAATTGTGAGGCCATACATTTTTCACCCAGCTTGTGATCGTTTGCTACGGGAGCCGTAGGAAACTAACATAGTGGGTGTATGAGCCACTCTGGGCTCTCACTTGGTGGTGGCCTAGGATGGCCCTGGCTTCAGAGATGCTTCTTATGGAGCTCTTAAAATGGCTTAAAAATCCCCATAGCCTGACATTCAAGCTGTTACCCTTCCAGATTCTCTTTCATACCTGGTGCCTGCTCACAATCCTTCATTAGACTATGTATCCTGACTTTTATAGTTTTTCTTTTTCTTCTTGATTCAGAAAGGTATCCTCTCCATAATTATAGAGTCATATTGTGTGAGTTTGGGTGAATCAGTGAACTATCAAGTTGCACCACGTGTCCTCCTCAGTTTCTCTGATTTATCATCCTTTCTTTGAGATTTACAGAATTAGATTGATTGCAAACTTTAAAAAATGACCTTCAGCTCCTTGCAGGCCCATGTGAGCACACAACTATCTTGCTTTCAGACCTGCATCTCCAATTTCATCTCGTAGAAGAAATCTTCCCATGAGTATCTCTAAGGCAGGGCCCACCTCCAGTGCTTCCTTCTGATCCTGCACAGCAAGTTCACCTCCTGGATGTCTGCTCTGTGTTGGCTGATGGGGAAACTAAGTTGAATAAGACATCCTTAAGAAGCTGGCAGTCTGGTGAAGGCTGGGGTTGGGAGACAGTTATAAAGACCAAGTTGTTTCAGTAAGTCATAATCAGTGACACAGGAGGTGGATGTATAAGGTACTTTAGAGACCAGAAGGGGAGTACCTGGCCCATAATAATGGCTTTCATTCTTTATGAGCCAGACACCATGGTAGAAGCTTTACATGCATTATCTTTAATCCTCAACAAGAAAGGTGTGTAGTACTATCCTCATTTTACAGGTGCAACTGAAAAGGTTAATTAAGTAACTTGCTCAAAGTCTCTCACTTGGCAAGTGACAGAGCCACTGTTTGATCTTAGGTCTGCCTGACACCCAAGATCACACATGGATTCTTCACAATACCAGGGTGACTGATGCTCAGGGCGTGTTTCATCAAAGCAGGTACTTTAAAATATTCACTGATTTTTCCGTATTGTTTTTGTGCTATCCAAAACATTTAGTTGAAAGATAATGATTAATTTAAACTCACCAAAGTTGCCAACAACCCGCTAATTGCTGTTCTTGTCTTACTTGACCTTTCTGTGTATTGGTCTTGCCTCTGTCTTGAAAATCCTTCCTCCCTTTGGCCTTTGTAACATCATACTTGGCTGGTGTTCCCTCTGCCTCTTTGGATTCTTTTTTTCCACTTATTCTTTCTCTGTCGAGCTCCTCTAAGGCTCTGACCGCTACTCATTTTTTATTTATCAATCTCTAACCCTCTTCAGAAGAAGTCCATGCATCTTACTTATTTCTATTACTGTCATAGTCATGGTTTCCTCATTTGTTCCTTGTTGATTTCCAGATCTTTATATGTAGCATCAACCCCTCTTCTGAGCCCCAGACCTAGATATTAAATGCTCTTCCAACCTTCTCCACATGAAGCTCCCACAAGCACATCCAAGTCACCACACCTACCTCTGATCTCACCATCCTTCCTCCCAGACCCTGCCTCTTCTAGCCCAGGGAATCATGCCCCATGTCCCACTATTGGTCAAAGCACCCCTCTCCTTCATCCTTCCACACTTGAACAATGCCTCAATTCTCTTCATTCTACCTCCTAAATCTCTCAAAAATGCCTGGCTCAGCTATCCCCACAGTCACTACCTTGGGTCTCTCCCTTGTCTTCTCTATCTAAATGATAATTTTCTAAAACTTGTTTAAAAATTTAAACTTATAGATGATTTGCAAGGATAATGGATAATATAGAGTGTTCCCATACACCCTTCACCCAGCTTTCCTAATGTTGGCATCTCGTATAACCATGGTCCAGTTATGAACTAAGAAATTAACATGGTTTACTGAATGATTGTGATGGCCTTGTTGACAGATACTTTGGGTTGTCTATTTGCCTCCCCAGCAATTTTTTTCGTTTTTCAGCTTGAAGTGGAAATGTGTTCATCCCTAGGGGATGGATCATGATAGTTCCTTCTAGATGCTACCCTAATACTTTGCTCTTTCTCCATAATCATTGGGTCATAAATCTGTGTACGTGCCTGCTGTTGTCACTGGACTTAAAAGCAGAACTGACAACTGCATTCTCAGTAGGCACTCAGTAAATGTTTGTGATACAAGTGAACAAATGAATGAATGAGATCAGTGTGGCTAGAGCTGTAGGTTTGTATATGGCAACCAGAAAAGTGTCACTTATGAATTAAAAAGTTTCAACAACGATTGAGGACCCAAAGTCCTTTCTAACACAGAGGCCCAGTCCCAGTACAGATGGACCTAATGCCATTTTTATCCTCACGCTGACCATCCTTAGTGATGAAGGACAGGGATAAGCCTGGAGTCACAGGCTTCTTGAATCTCATGTCTGGGAAAGCGCCTTAAATCCAATGGTTCCCAGACTGAGTTGGCTGACTCAGAGCCTCCAGGGATGCGGCCTGGCAATCTGCCTGGTTAATAAGTTTGCAAGGTGATGCAGCAGGCAGCGGGAGCTGGCCCCGGTCCAAGAACCAGAGTTTGGAAACCCCTGCTGAAGGCCAACCTGCTTATTTACAGACAGCGTGGACCATCTACACATAAAGGCTCCATCCGGCTCTGACTTTTTCTGATAGATTTTTCTTTTTCTTTCATTTAAAAATAAGCCTGTAAATTTGGATGCCGTAATATGCATCATGGATATATAGATTATACTTTAAAAATGCCTTTTAGAAAGTCATATAAACCAGAAAATATCTCCAGTTTCTTTTTTTTCTTTTTTTTTTTTATTATTATACTTTAAGTTCTAGGGTACATGTGCACAACGTGCAGGTTTGTTACATATGTGTACATGTGCCATGTTGGTGTGCTGCACCCATTAACTCATCATTTACATTAGGTATATCTCCTTATGCTATCCCTCCCCCCACCAAACAACAATCTTAATCTTAAAAATTTTTATTATAAACCTCATTTTATATAATGTAACATCAGAGATATTTATCTTAGGAGTCCTGTGTTAGCATTTCATTAGGATCTGATGGGTAAATGATATACATAGGAATCCAGATTTAAGTCTGCAATTTTCATCCATTTCTACCCTGTCTTTTGGGCACTTGCTAGCCTTTGTTTCTACATATAGGATTTATCATTTTTATTACTAGAACATAGTACAGGGTTATAGACCAAAATAAGTCAATCCTGATATTCACACCTCTCCAGAATTGTATATCACCGTCTAAGGAAACCAAATGGCAGATTTTCCACAAATACCCAATATTCTGTAATGGTTTAGCTAGTTACTTACTTCATGGAATCAGAACTATCATATGTCAAAACCTGACCTAACCCTGGCTCTCCTTCTCATTCTGGATAAAGTGAATGAAGCTGAGGAGAAACTTGGGCAGCCCCACCATGGATCTGCACAGCCATCATTGGTGCAGGTGGGCTGCAGGGAGCAGGGGATGGTGGGCCACAAAGGTTGATTGACCACCTCAATATTTATCCACCTCAGGCGAGAACAATGCAGCTTCCAAGTCTGCGTTTTTTCAACTCAAAGCCCACTTGCTAAGTGCAACCTAGGGTCAAGCCTGTGGCTAGGCATGGGAGGAGAGAGTGAATAAGCTGTCACAGACAAAGCTCGCGGTGCAGTGGAAGAGAAGTTCTGGGAGTTCTAATGAAATCAGTGTTTCATGCAACAGTGACAAAACTTCTATAAGTCCCAGGTTAATTTGAATCCTTTAAAGGAAAAGACACTGGATGTTCAACGATCGGAGCAGAAATGATTTCATGGTCTGTGGTGCACATTTTTTGTTCTTTCTTCTTCACTAGAAAGTATTCTTTTCCAACAAACATTTAAGAAACAATTAAGCCTTCACGGCTAATCAGATGTACATGAAAATGCTTTGGTCACCATTTTTCTGGGCAACTGCTGTGACATCTGTTCTATACTACAGGGCTATAGGGGAATAAACCATTTCTATAGCCCTGCTTCCTTTGCCTGTGATGGGAGCATCCCACACCTGGTAAGTGTAACATCCACTGAGGAACTGTAGTTCTTCTGACTTCTCAAAGTAACTAACGGGCAAGGAGACCCTTTCTAACATTTTGATCTTGGGGCCCCAGACTTGAAATTTGCAGCTAATGCTTTCATCAGAGCTGTGACAGGTTTCTTCCTACCCTCTTTTCTTTTCTTTTCTTTTTTTTTTTTTTTTTAGCAGAGTATTGTTTTGTTACCCAGGCTGGAGTTCAGTGGCGCAATCTCGTCTCACCACAACCCCCGCCTCCCAGGTTCAAGCAATTCTCCTGCCTCAGCCTCCCAAGTAGCTGGGACTACAGTCGCGCGCCACCATGCCTGGCTAATTTTTGTATTTTTAGTAGAGATGGGGTTTCACTATGTTGGCCAGGCTGGTCTCGAACTCCTGACCTTGTGATCCACCTGCCTCGGCCTCCCAAAGTGCTAGGATTACAGGTGTGAGCCACCGCACCCGGCCCCCTCTTTTCTTCTTTCTTTCTGCTAGCATGTATTGAGCATACATTATGTACGAGGCCCTGTGCCAAACTCTGGCTTAGTTGATTGAGAACAGTTATGCAATAAAGTGACTGCTGACAGGTGTGTACAGAGTATTCTGAAAGCACCTGGGCCATCCATAGTTTTGTCCAACAATTATTTACTGGGCAATTGCTCTGCTGTGTCAGAGACATAGAGATAGAGATAAAGTAGAATGAGTTCCTGTTTTCAAAGACCTCACAGCCCAGTCATAACACCTAAATGGAGACAGTTATGAAACAAGACAGATAATATTGAATGGCGTTAGATACTGATAGTCTATCCACCCATCCTTCCAACCATGATCCAATCATACAACAAGTATTTATTGAATATCCACTACAAGCCAGCTCTATTCTCAGCTTTAGAAATGGAGCATTGAACACAACTAACATACAAACCATAAACACAAAAAAATTAATAAAAGGGGTTAATTTTAATAGTTAAAAATTATTGAAAGAGAATAATTCAGGGTGATGTGATAAAGAATGCTCCAGATAGAGAGGTCCTGGGAGGTATCTCTGGGGCAATGACATTTGGGTTTAAGGGGTGTGAAGGAGGTAGCTGTGCGATCATCTGGGTGAAGATATAAGCCCACGCTAAGGGAACAGCAATAGCAAATGCAAAAGTCCTGAGGAATAGATTTAGTGGGTTAAGAGAACAGAGAAAAAGCCAGAGTGACTGGTGTATAATTAGTGTTTAGGGTGGGGAGGTGGCTGGTGTCCTAGAAGAGGAGATCTGAGGGAAGGACGTGAAATGAATTATATAGTCTCTTACAGGTCAGGGCAAGATTCTATTTTATTCCTTTTTTTTTTTTTTCTTTTGACGCAGTCTCTCACTCTGTCACCCAGGCTGGAGTGCAGTAGCGTGATCTCAGCTCACTGCAACCTCTGCCTCCCACCTCACCCTCCCGAGTAGCTGGGACCACAGGCGTGCACCACCCTGCCTGGTTAATTTTTTTTTGTATTTTTTGTAGAGACAGGGTTTTGCCATGTTGCCCAGGCTAGATTAGATTTTATTCTAAATGCACTAAGATGACTTTGAGGAATTTACACTGGGAAGGCCATATTCTGATTTATGCTTTAAAAAGCTTGCTATGAATCCCTCTCTTAGTAATTAATAGGACAAGTATACAAAAAAGTAAACAGTAAAGATATAGATCCAAACAACACAACTTAATTGATATTTATAGAACTTTCCACACCCAATAAGTATAAATACACATGATTTTCAGCTGCAAATAGAACATTGACTGAGATCAAACATTTGCTGAGGCCCAAAATATATCTCAAAATGTTTCCAATAATTGAAGTATTACAGAATGTATTCTTCCAGCAAACAAAACTAAGCTACAAGCCAATTACAATAAGATACCTAGAAAATCCTCCAAATATTTAGAAATTAAATAACATGCTTCGAACTTGGACCTGGGTCAAAGAATTAATTAAAAGGGAAGTTAGAAAATATTTTGAGGCCAGGCGTGGTGGCTCACACCTGTAATCCAAGCACTTTGGGAGGCCGAGGTGGGCGGATCACTTGAGGCCAAGAGTTTGAGACCAGCCTGACCAACATGGTGAAACCCGGTCTCTACTAAAAACACAAAAATTGGCCAGGCTTGGTGGAGCACGCCTGTAATGCCAGCTATTTGGGTGGCTGAGGCATAAGAATCACTTGAACCTGGGAGGTAGAGGCTGAGTGAGCCAAGACTGTGCCACTGCACTCCAGCCTGGGCAACAGAGGGAGACTGTGTCTTAAAAAAAAAAAAAAAAAGAAAGAAAGAAAAAAGAAAATATTTTAAACTGACTGATAATGAATATACAACATACCAAAATGTATGGTATGCAACTAAAGCATTGCTTAGATGGTAATTTATAGCTTAAATGCTTATATTAAAAAGAAGAAAGGTTTAAAATCAATGATCTAAGTATCTACCTTAGAAAGCTGGAAAAATAACACATTAAATCTAAAACGGAGAAAAAAAGTATGAACATAAGAAAAAAGAAATAAATGAAAGACCAGAAAGCAATGAAATAAAAACCATACTCCAAATAGAAACAATTGGCAAAGCCACGCTTTATTCTTTGACAAGATTAATAAACTTTACAAATCCTTATGAATTAATCAAGAAAAAAATAAAGTAAACATAAATGACTTATTTCAAGGATGAAAGAAGGGATATCCTATAGATCCTACAGACACTAAAAGGATAATAAAAGAATACTATGAACTCTGTCAACAAAGTCAATAATTTATTTCAAGGAACATATGTCTCAAAAAACATAACTTACCAATGCTGACTCAACAAGAAACAGAAAATCTAAGCAGCCCAATTTCTATTCAAAAATTTCAATTCATCATCTTATTCAAAAACATTCCCACAAAGAAAGCTTCAGACCCAGATGGTCTCACTGGTGACTTCTATCACATACTTATAGACCCATTTTACAGAAGCTCTCAGAAAAAAAGAAAAGAAATGACCATTTCCCATCTCATTTTATGAGGCCAACATAATCCTAACTTTAAAAACCTGAGAAAGACATTTTTAGGACAAGGACTCTCTCATCCCCACTGCATGGATGAAGCACACTGAGGCTTGGAGTGCTGACACGACTTGTCCCAAATCTCGGGACATGAAACGGCAGCACTGGGGCCCAGGTTCCCATCCCAAGAGGTTTTTGCTACCATGCTGTCCTCTAGAAGGTGGCCCCTTCACAATCTGCAGATCACATCCTGTAGGCAACAGCTCACACCTGCTGGGGCCAGGAGACAAGACCTGAGGAATGCCCCTTCTCCACTTCCTACCCCTAAAGGAATGTGGATGGTGGGTTTTGCACCCCATCTCGCCCATTGTGTGAATCTTCCTATTTACAATGAACAGCTGTGTGAGGCCAAAGATGTATGTGTGGTTATAGGAAAAAAACTTCCATATCACATCTGGTTTTGTCATTTGGGCCAATAATCCTGTCTAGTCCATTATGTATTGCTCTGTGTAACAGATACGGCACAGAAGGAATGCTTAAAAGTTTTAACAGGAGAGGAAGTCCCTGCCAGATGAAGATAACGGCAGGATCACAGCATGGTAAGAGCAAAACTCTGCTCAGTTTTTACTTATGCAGAGGCCCAAGTTGTATTTAAACTGAAGCTGGAGTGTTATCGATTAATATTCAAATCAGCAAAGTCTTGTGTTTTACCCATGGTCAGAACTTGAAATAACGGCCTCAGTTCCTCCGTGACCCTGCAGTTTTGATGTCCTGGCCATGATTTTAGAAGGGGGCCATTGGCTAGAACGTGGGAATTTATTTCACAGTGTGTGTTGTAATGGGTTGCCAATCTTCGTGACCTGCTGGAGAACATGGCTTAGCTTCATCTCTCAGCCTTGACCTCAGTCACATCATGCTGAGGCCTCCTCGTCAGTTCTAGGGCCATGGTTTCCCAGTGTGTCTTCTGCCTGTAATTTCCTCTCCTGCAGTATACCTTTCCCAGCTTCACTGGAAATTGTATTTCTAGGTTGTCTTTGGGTTAAACTACACATTTATTAGTACATCTCTCTAAATTCTATCCTCAGTATGTGTTACTGACTTCTCAAATTGAAATTCTCTAAACTGAGCTCCCAATGCATCCTCCCTATCTCCAGAGTCCTTCCTGTCTTAGCTAAAAGACAGTTCCATTCATCCAGTTGCAAAAAACAAAAACTTGATAGCTTTTATTGGTTGGCTGTACCTTTTCTCTCTGTCCCACATCCAATCCACCAGCAAATCCTGTTGTCTCTAACTTTGGAAGAGACTTGGAGTTCTTACTGCTTACCACTTCTACGGCTATCACCCTAAGCAAACCTCCTGATCTCTCATCCGGATTATTGCCAAGCCTCCTGACCAGGCTTGCTGGTTTCTCCCCTGCTCTGCTGGTTTCTCCCCTGCTCTGCTACTATTTTCTTTTTCTTTCTTTTCTTTCTTTTCTTTCTTTTTTTTTTTTTTTTTTTTTTTTTGAGACAGAGTCTTGCTCTGCCACCCAGGCTAGAGTGCAGTGGTGCGATCTCGATTCACTGCAACCTCTATCTCTCGGATTCAAGCGATTCTCTTGCATCAGCCTCCCAAGTAGCTGGGATTACAGGTGCCTGGCACCATGCCTGGCTAAATTTTGTATTTTTAGTAGAGACGGGGTTTCACCATTTTGGCCAGGCTGGTCTCGAACTCTTGACCTTGTGATCCACCTGCCTTGGCCTCCCAAAGTGCTGAGATTACAGGCATGAGCCACTGCGCCCGGCTACTATTATTTTCAAATAGCAGCCAGAATGCTGCTGTTAGAACTCGGAAGTCAGACCATATAACCCCTGTGTCCAAAATCTGTAATTACCACCTTGCTCAGAGTAAAAGCACCATTCATTATAGTGGCCTACAAGGCCCTGTGATAGCTGGACCTTCTCTGTCTCCCTCAACTCATCTCTACTCTTTGCTCCAGTGCCTCTTCCACTCAGCCACACTGGGCCTTGCATACTGGAGGCAAGTTCCTATCTCAGGGCTTTTGCACCTGCCCTTCCCTCTGCCTGGAGTGCCCTCATGTCTGCAGGGCCCATTCTCTTGTTTCTTTTAGATTCCTTAGCACGGAGGTCTTCCCTGACTACCCAAAATAAAATAGTCCCTTCTGCTCTGACCCTCCCTACCCTCTGTTTTTGCTTCATTTTTTTTTAACAGCACGTATAACAGTCTGATATCCTGTTTGCTTATCTAATGACACTTATAGTTTGTCTTCCCCAGCGGGCTATAAGATCCATGAGGGCTTGAACTTCTTTATGTTATTCACTGCTGTCTCCCAGTGCCTAGAACAGTGACTGAGACATAATAGGTACTCAATAAATATATTTTATATGAGCAAATAAATGAACATATTCCTCTAGCCTCATCTTCCAGAGAATCCCTCCCATTGAACACTAGCTTTTAAATACTTTTGACAATGATGACAGGTATTCCTTGAAAAAAACTTTGGCAGCTACAAAAGAATATTTAAAAAATAAAGATAATGGTTGTCAACATACGTGTGTGTGTGTGTGTGTGTGTGTGTGTGTGTGTGTGTGTACCATATTGATTAAAACAAGCAAACAGAAAAATAATATGGCCAAAACATGCACAAAATACATCAGCACAGTGTGAGGAAAGAGTTGATTGGGTTCCAAGTTCTGTGGATTTACAACAATGGGTCCCTGGTCTCCACAGCATCCCAGTGGTAATCACACAGACAAGAAACCAGATGTTGGGTTTATTGTGCGAAACTTTGTGGTGACATGGGTGGGTTTGTGTTTGGACACCCCCTCCAGGTTCTACCTCCTCAGTGTTTTGATTATTTGGCAAGAATAGAAAGCATTCCTGGGAATTGTACAGTGCCTATTGGAGTCCTTATTAGGAGAGGGATCGCTCAGGCACAAATGGATCACTCAGGCCCCGGATGTTTCCGGGGAAAGGAAGTAGTGAAGTCTCTTCAGTGCTGTTTGACTCTCCCTGTGTCTAGGATTGCCAGATGTTTCAGGACACAGGTGCATGAGATGGTCCCGTTTCCCAGGGCCTTGTCCTGTTTCATGCTGTGTTGGGACATCTCATGAAATCAGGAGGTGAGTTTCTCCCTGATTATAACTTCCTATATATCCCTCGTAAAAGTGAGTTTTCTGTCTGTAGATGACCTACATAAAATCCCTACCCCGAACCTCCTGTGCCCTACAGACAGCTCCTACAAGTCAGGGAGTCAATACTATTAGGAGACAGGCAAGTCAAGCTCTCAGAGTGCCAGATGGCTACATTTCCTCCTCTGCCCTCAACATTTCCTTCTTCCTCACCCTCAGCCTCCAACCTAGTGGTTCTCAAACTTGAGAGCATGCCTCAGAACCTACTGGAGGGGTTTTTTTTTTTTTTTTTTTGAGACAGATTCTCGATCTGTCGCCAGGCTGATCTCGGCTCACTGCAACCTCCACCTCCCAGGTTCATGTAATTCCCCTACCTCAGCCTCCCAAGTAGCTGGGACTACAGGTGCACACCACCATGCCCGGCTAATTTTTTTTTTTTCCCCTGGGACCCATCCTCATAGTTTCTAACTCGGTAGATCTGGGGTGGGGCTGTGGACTTCACATTTCCAGCAAGTTCCCAGGTGATGTTCATGCTGCTGGTCTGGGATCCTGCTTTAAGAACCACTGGTTTACTTCATCACTTAATGTGAAATCTCTCTTTTATCCATCTCCTCTCCATTCTTGCTGCTACTGGTATAGTGCAGGCCCTCACAGATTTCTCAACTTTTAGGACTTGGAGAGACTTTAAACATAAGAATTTTTCACAGAAGTAAAATAGGCTCAAAATCATACATCCAGACAGTGGGAGCTAGGATTCAACTTCAGGTCCTTCAGACCCCTGGTGGGCAGCAGAGTGGCTCACCCCTGCATGCTGGGTAGGAGGCCCTGATGCTTGGAGAAGGACAGGCCACTGAGCAAGTCAGCAGAGCATCAGGGACTAGGACCCAGCTTTCTTCTTGTTGCTGTTTTGAGACCAAGTCTCAATCTGTCACCCAGACTGGAGTTCAGTGGCATGATCTCAGCTCACTGCAACCTCCACCTCCCAAGTTCAAGCGATTCTTGTCCCTCAGCCTCCTGAGTAGCTGGGACTACAGGCATGCACCACCATACCTGGCTAATTTATTTTTTTCTTTGAGACGAAGTCTCACGTTGTCACCCAGGCTAGAGTGCAGTAGCATGATCTTGACTCACTACAACTTCCGCCTCCTGGGTTTAAGTGATTCTCCTGCCTCAGCCTCCTGTGTAGCTTGGATTACAGGTGCCCACCACCATGCCTGGCTAATTTTTGTATTTTTAGTAGAGACAGCATTTCACCATGTTGGCCAGGCTGGTCTCGAACTCCTGATCTCAGGTGATCCACCCACCTTGGCCCCCAAAGTGCTGGGACCCAGCTTTCTTAATTACTATTGCTTCTCTTCTTCCCATATTCATCCAGCTACTTTAATGAACACCTACTAGGGGCCAAGCATGAGATCATCCTTCATTCTGTCAAAATATACTTGAGAGTCACTACTGTACCACACAGTCATTTGTCCTGTTCTCACGAGTTCACAGTCTAATAGGAGAACTGGACATTAATCAAATAACTGCACACAAAATTAAAGTTAAAGCATCTTTAGGGCTATAAAGAAGATGCACATGAAGCTCTAGTTGCACGTAAGTGGAAAATTTAATGTAGACAGAGGGGTGGAGGACATTTTTCCCAGGAGAATGACAAGCAGTTTGATACTTAAAGGATGAGTCAGCAACAGCCAGGTGAAGAGGGGAAGAACGGGATTTGCTGGCGGGAGTCGAATGTACAAAGGCCCTACGAGAGGAGGGACCCCGTGAGTATGGGGGGATGGAAGAAGAGCAGCGTGGCTGGAGTAAAGAGGGTCAGGGTCAGCCGGGCGGGGTGGCTCATGCCTGTAATCCCAGCATTTTGGGAGGCCGAGGTGGGTGGATCACTTGAGGTGAGGAGTTCAAGACCAGCCTGGCTAACATGGTGAAACCCCGTGTCTACTAAAAGTACAAAGTTAGTCAGGCCTGGTGGTGGGCACCTGTAATCCCAGCTACTCGGGAGGCTGAGGCAGGAGAATTGCTCGAACCTGGGAGGCGGAGGTTGCTGTGAGCCCAGATTGTGCCACTGCACTCCAGCCTGGGCGGAAGAGGGAGACTCCATCTCAAAAAAAAAAAAAAAAAAAAGAGGGGGTCAGGGTCCAGGTGGCAGGGAGACACCAGGTTGTGCAGGGCTTCACAGTCCACTTTAAGATGTTTTAACTTTAAGAACAATAGAAGCCACTGTGGGGAGACGTGGCATAAAAATCAGATTTGCTTTCGTGGAAGATCCAGGAGGCTGCCATGTGGAAGAGGCAGGAGTGGACACAGGTGGGCAGTGAGGGGGCTGTAGTGATGAGAGACGGTGACTCAGCCTCAAATGGCAGTGGGAGACACGAAGAAGCAGACAGAGTCAGGGACCATGAGGACACCATCATCTCCAGGGCTTCGTGAAGGGTTAGTTCCAAGCAGAGAGGGCAGTGCTGTGGCTGACATCTGGGCTTCTGGAGCATGTGTGTCATGGAAGGAGACCAATATTTTCTTATTCAAAGCATATTGTATCCACAGTTTTGCCGCGAGCATTTTCTACCTCATTAAATACTTGTTGAGATGTGATGGTTAGAACGTTAGTCGTTGCTGGGAAGAACTCACTTTCCAACTTCTCTACCAGATTCTGTGTAGTGAGGACTACTTACTACTTGGTGTGAGGACCGTGTGTTTGGCCATCTTCCCACACCCGGAGCCCCTCCTCCCGTGCCTTTCCCTGTGCCTTGCTTGCTGTCGGTGATTAATAAGTGTTTGTGGAATGACGGGATAAAGAAAAGGAATGCCTTTAGGAGTGATGTCTGGGTTCAAACAGCCACTTAGGCTTCCACATGACTTTAGATCTTCAAAAAGTAAGACTAAATGATTACTTACAGTCCACCTATTTCTAGTCAAAAGTTATGTGTGACTATTAAGTTTATCCAGTTGGAATCACAGTACGTCAACTTCATTGGAAGAAAGCAGGGAGAGGATAGAATCTTAAATCTGTGGAAACTGAAGAGACCAACTGCCTGAAGAAATCCAGACCAGATATTTCATTAAATTGTGATAGCCCCCAAAACAGAAACAGCAATTGCATGTTCCAAATGTAATCATTAGATGCTGCTGAATGAAGCATATATAGCCTTCCCTAATAGAAATACACGGCCCCTTAGCCATTGTGAAACTAAATTCATCTTATCTAATTTTCCCAGAATTCTTGTGCCCTAGTTTTGGCTATTTACCAATAACCTTGAGACAGACGTTTTAACTAAATACCTTTCTTCAACAGCTCACAACTGTGAGCCCCTCTGTTTGGAAAACCTAGATTTATCCATCTGCTCCTTTTACAGACAGGAGCTGTTTCTTACACATCCCATTCCCTTATTTACTGACCTCTGTAAGATAAATTTACTCATTCATTTCCTCAGCGACCCCTGACGGTCACGTCCCCCTATCTCACGGATGAGATGCCAGTCCAATATGTCATCTGTGTTTTGCTTCAGCCTGAATTCTGGGAAGTGTTGCCATTTCTCTTCCTGAACATTTGCTTTGAAGATAAAAAGAGGATGTTCATCTCCCCCAAGGACCTCCCCGGGCGTTCCTGCCTGTCAGTCTTGTCCTTGCCTTGGGAAATTACATCAGCCAAACATGAGCTGGACTAACAACCCATCAGGTGACTGCACTCAAATGAAGAGAAGCCCAAGGAAAAGTCCTCTGTAGCATCCTTCTTGCCTTTGATACCCAGGCAATGACTTTAGGAAGGTGACTTGTTTTCACTAACACCTCCAGATGAATGCAGTCAATTTTAAAACCAGGCTCACGATCACTGAGGCAGTAAAAAGCCCCATGGCCTGGTGACCTGGGCTCTGGGTCTGGCTTCGTCACTGACCAGCTCTGACCTTAGAAATGTCTTTACTTCCCTGGCCTCTGGGTCTTCAACTGGAAAATGGGAGAGTTGGGTTGAAGTGCTACTAACGTTTTCAATTATATGTTTACTCTTTCTTTATTATATCTCCAACTGCTCTATGCTCTATGTTTGAAAGAATTTTGACTTCTCAACACATTGAACTTGTTAAGCAGCAGCCTTTATTTTATTTCTCTTTTTTATTCATCAAAGCATACACCAGAGCCTCTGATCAACATGACTGGTTAATCTTCTAGCCAAATAAAACCTCATTGTAAGGACACATGGTTTCTTGTATGATGTTTGAAATTTTGAAAGTATGTCACAAATCCCTACTCCAATCCTCATGGACCCCTAAAAATTCTAAGGATCCCAAATGAGGAACAAATGGGCTAAAACACAGTTAGAGAAGCCTTCTGTGTCCAGTGTTGTGGCAAAGATGATAGAGCCCCAAAACCCCTGTATATAAAAGAAAAGAGAAAAGAAAAGAAAAATGTTACAACACTGGTTTAATTAGCCCAAGCTCAGGCTGTGAAAGCTCAGGCCTTTGTCTTTCTTCTCTGTTGGAGGAGACGGCTTTTTTCCGTCCTTCCCCTCCATTTAATCTTGCCAGTACCGGAATTCACTGAATAGCTCAGCTCTCTCCACCAACAAATACCCAAAATGATGAATAACAAACAACTCACCTATCTTTTCGATGGTTTCATTTACGAACTTCCCTAATACCTAAGGATTATTCTAGACTTCAAAGAATGCATTTTCTATCCGACTTTATATTTTTAATGTAGTGATAGAGTACTTACTATTTTCCAGGCAAACAGCAGACACGCAACACATGCTTGCTGAATGTATGAATGGACTCTGTTAAGCATTTCCACATATTCCATGTAATTTAACTCTCTCAGCAGCTCTGTAAGGTAGGGAGTATTCTTCCCATTTCCCCACTGAGGAAACTGAGTCTGAGGCAGGTGCTATTAATTGTTCAGAGTTATACAGCTAGTAAGTGGTGAGGCTGGCTTGAAGCCAGATCTTTTGTCCATACATCCCTGGGCAGGTGCCCTACAGGGCAACCCCTTTTGGATTCCTGGTGCTCTTCCCTTGGGTGTTTCTGAATGAGCTGACCCTCTCTCTCCTCCTCACCATCACCAGCCCTACCCAGTTCATAAGTCTAACCTCCAGCCGTCTTCTGTCTTGCTTCAGTATTCTTTTGGACATATCTTGCCACCCTGATGTTGTCATTCTGCAACATCTTATTTGAAACTATGGACAGCAATTCCCCCAAACTTTGTAGCAAGTTCTTTGCAATGTTTTGGTGGGATCACACAGCAGCCCTGTTAGGAGCGGTCTCTGCAGTCTCCTCATGCATCCCCTCACTGGGCAGACAAGCACAGCCCCAGGGCCGCTTGGAGGTTCTCTGTCTTTGGCAACTGCACATGCATGAATCTATTCCTTCATCACTACACCTGGGTCACTGTCAATTTTGGAACCACGTTACATTTTTTTTCCCTCTTTCAGAACCTAGAAGGGGCTGGGCGCAGTGGCTTAGGCCTGTAATCCCAGCACTTTGGGAGGCTGAGGTGGTGGATCACGAGGTCAGGAGTTCAAGACCAGCCTGGCTAACATGGCAAAACCCCATCTCTACTAAAAATACAAAAATTAGCCGGGCGTGGTGGCAGGCGCCTGTAATCCCAGCTACTCGGGAGGCTGAGGCAGGAGAATCACTTGACCCCGGGAGGCGGAGGTTACAGTGAGCCGAGATCATGCCATTGCACTCCAGTCTGGGCGACAAAAGCAAGACTCCGTCTCAAAACCAAACCAAACCAAACAAATACCTAGAACTGAGAAGGTCCCTTTTGAACAACTGGTCCAATGCCTCCATGGTTACCGCCCCCCACCACACCCCGCCACACACACACCTATGCCCATTTTACAAATAAAGAAACTGAGGTCCCTGAACTCCTGGATAAAACGTTACATCAGAGGACACAAAAAACAATGAATAACAAATGTTTTTTTCTTGGTGATTGATAGTGGAGGTATTTGAAAACATTCCTTTTTCTAGGATAGACGAGCAAAGAACTCATGGGCTGATGGCCCTCAGTATTCATCCTGTTATCGATGACAAGGCCTGTGTCGTCCCTGCCTCTATCAGCATGCTAGCTCAATTGCTCAGCATGTGGTGCCGATTGGAGTGCTCTTGCTCCACCACTTTGGGGCTGAGTGCCCTGAGACAGGGCCATGGTAAGACTTCTAGAAGAGAAACAGGAAGAGGAAACCTGTTAGTCAAGTATTTCAGCTTAGTATAAAGTACCTCCATGGCACGTCCGTGGCCTTGCATGCAAGCACACACAAACACACACACACACACCATCCTGCCCCTTTGATTCAAATAATTATATCCATAATACGTTGTTTAATGAAAAAAAAAACATCCCAAGGCTAGTGTTTGGGGACAGACCTCCCTGCTTACCTGGTTTGCTGAGAAAATTCCAAGATTTAGAGTCAGAAGAAACGGGAGTAGGATCCTGGCTTTGACGTTTACACAATGTTCAACCTGGGGCGAGTTCCCTTTGGAGTTGTTTCCTGATACATAAAATGGAAATGCCACAGCATTGTTCACAGTGGTGTTGTGGGCACTAGAACAATAAAGCCTGTGAAAGCCGTTTGCAAACTCTAAAGTGCTGCCCAAACAGGAGTACAATTAATACCAGATTTTTACTCCAGGGACCTTCTGGGAAATTCATGTGCTCTGGGGTAAGGGGATCTCTCTCTTTCAGGGCTATTCAACACATGTGGACAGATGTCTTGTCACAGTGCTAGCGGGCGAGGGTGAGGCAGAAATGGGGATGGTGCAGGCTCCGTCCATTCTATTAGTGAGTCCAGGACTACCCTGAGTATGGACTGCCTCTTGAAGTAGTGAGCTCACCATCACTGGAGATATTTAAGCATGGAACAGACAATCGCTTTGCAGAGAAGCAATGGAGGAAATCTAAGCATCAACTGGATGTCGGAATTGATGACCTTCGAGGTTTCTGCATACTTCTCTGGTTTTATGGAAAGGAAAAAGAGAGTTCCATTCAGCAGGGTGTGTGGTTTGAGTTCTGCCAGGGGGTCATCATTCAAACACAAGACAGTGCAGGTCTTTCTTGGGGTCTATGGATTCATGCTGGGGGAGTGGGAGAGATGGACACACAGCAGAGCTCTGAGTGACTACAGGACAGAGAGGTGCTCCGGGGCAAGGCAGTCACAGTGTGTGCATGCCCACCCAGTCCACGCTGCTGCTGCTCACCCTTCTCTAGGGTAGTGATGCCCACATGGCTTGTCCACTCAGGAAGCCATGGTGGTTTCTCCATGCCTGATGCCCAAACTTCTTCACTTGATATCCGTCACCATCCAAGGACTGCCTCCAGCCAACCAGCCTAATCAGCCAAACTGACCCTCTCATGATTGCTAACAAGCCATGGCTCTCCTTCCTGTTTGCCTTCCCCCACCTAGAATGCCTTGCCCCACTTCTTCCACCTCCCCAGTCTCTGCACAGCAGAAGCACTCATCCTTCTAGGCATCACTTTAATGCCACCACCTCCAGGAACTCCTCCCTGATTGCTCTCCCCCCTATTCTCCAAGTGATTTTTCCCTCTGAGCTCACTTCATCTTTCCTTCTCTTGTAGGGCTTATTCTCTATATTAGAGCTAATTGTGGGTATGTTCTGTCTCCCTCTACCAAAATTTAAATCCCTTAAAACCAAGTTCTCTGTCCCTCTATTCCCCAGCAACTACCCCAGCACCTGGTACCTTTCCCAGCACCAGCAAGTGTTTGATGTTGAATAAGTAAATAAACAAATGCACTTCTACTTCCAAACACAAAAATCAGCAGCAGAACGAACTGATGGATTCATTCTTCTCTCCCTGAGTGCTAAGTCTGCAAAATGCCACATCTGGAACACAGATAGAAGATCTAAGGGATGTCAGCAAGAGGAGATCACTGGAAAATGGGGAGTACAGAGATAACATCAATTGGTAATGTGAAATCATCTAATAAATGGATCGGTGATTAATCACCAATTAACCACAAGTCCCAGGACAGATTTTCGAAAGGTGCTCAGAGTTATTGGGCCTACCCAATAAAAAATTATAGTAATCATGACCTGATTTAATTTTTTAACACTGTTTTACACTACTCTCATGGGATAGTCAGGCCAAATGCAACCTCAAAGGGAGGAGTTGGGAGTGGTGGTGTGATGGTGTTGAAAACACTCTAGTCTGGGAAACAGAAGATGTGGGCTCTCTCTTAAGCTCTGCAACCAATTTGGTATGTAGACTTGTCAGAATGATGACCCTTTCCTTCCCCTTCTAGCCTCCTGTAAATCACAGTGGAACTAGGTGCTCCCTCAGGTTAGAGAACGTGTCTGGTTTTTCCATCTGCCTTTGCAATGCTTTGGCTGTTTCCCACTGACTTCTAACAAAAGGCCCTCTGGGTCTACTTAAACACTGGCCAACTAACAGCAGCACATTGCTGGCCAAAGCAAGGTTGACTGGTGAGAACTGTGAAATGGGAGTCCTGAGAAAGAGAGGGCTCCATCAACTCATGAGCCAGGATCTGCCCTTCAGTTTTGATGTTACAGTCACTGGAGATCATTGAACAGGTTAATCAAAGCCAGTGGTCCTGGGTTGGATTCCTTGCTCTGCCATTTTGTCTTTTGGTGCCTCAAGGCTCCCACAGATAAACTGAGGCAACATCTTTGAGCCAGGCTCCTGGACTGCATATTTGCTAAGCTGGCCACAAACACTGCTTGGCCTTCCTCAGAACCCAGTGGTGGGAAGCAGCCCTCTGCGGTGCAAGGAAGAAAACCAGGGATGTCCCCCACCCTCTGCCACCCACTGCCCAGTGCAAATACAGTGCCCATCCCTCAGCAGCAAGTAATTAAATGTTCCCAGGGTGGCCTGTAAATTCTTCACTTCTCTCTTTGGGAGGTAGAAAGGAAAGGAATTCCTACTGAATATTTCTCTATTTTTCTATCTGTGGGTGAATGTGGGTTGAGAGACTGTGTATGTGTAAGCATGGCCCCCCAACCCTGTGCCTTACACAACTAGGTATTTACACACCAGATGAACCCTGCAGGGAAAGGCAAGTCCCCAGCTGCTGTGGAATTTTAAGAGATCTTTCTGGAATGGCCTTATGGGATGTCTGGTTCTAATTGCCTCCATCAGCCAGAGCTGGCGAGCTGGCAGGAGCAATGAGAGGTGCAACTGAACAGATTCCAGTTCACATCAGACCCCCAGCCCTGCCAGAGTCCCCCCAGGGCCAGAAAAGAGAACAAACGTGGCCAAGACGGTGGGTGTGGTGTGGTGGAAAGAACACTCTGCTGGAAGTTGGAAGGCCCAGCCTGCGGCCCAGCCCTGCTGCTAACGCCCTGCCTCTCTTTGGATCCATCACTTTCCTTCTCGGGACTCCAGTTTCTCATCTGCTGAATGAATAGTGAGGACTGGCTGATCTCCAAGGCCCCTTTCTAGTCTAAGATTCAGTGACAGAAATGTCAAGTTCTCATTGCGGAGGGGAGACATTTTCTTCTGAACTTTAAAATCAGGTGCTCTGCATTTTAGATCTTTAAGAAGAATGGGGAAGGGGCGATTTCATTTCTACCCACTATAACCGACCCTTGTCCCAGCCCCAGCCCCATTCCTTCTTCTTGCTGGCTGGGTTGGCTGGAGGTCTGAGCGCTGACCCCGCCACAGAGGCAACAAGATCCCATAGTTCCTTAGTGCCCCCTATAGGCCCCAAAGGCAGTCACACTGAAACGGGAGTGTCCGTGAAGCCACCTTCTCCCCAGCAACACAGGGCTTCGTCTGCTGCAGAGCCTCCGACTTTAGAGGCAGGTGACACAAATGGGCCCCTAATTTGTGATGAATTTCTTCTCTTTTGAGCCTGTTGTTGTTTTAAGGCTCAGACTAAAACCAGTTAACCAATAGCCCCAGCAGGCTGGGATTTGAACACCTCACAGAGGGTCACCAAATAGCAAATACTTCTAGTCCTGCACTTGCCCCGCCAGCCCCTGCCAGGCCCCTCGCCCCACTAACCCCTGCCACTGATGCTTGCACATCTCCAGTGACTGGGAGCTCTTTTCTCTCCAAGTCCATCTGGATCAGTTAGGAATTCTGTTTAGCTGGTAGTAAGAGTCCTAATTGGAGTGACTTTGCCAAATTGGGAGTTTATTTGCCCATCTAAAAGACATCTGTAGATAGGCTGCAGCCTACAAAATGATCAATCATTACCAGAGCACAAGCCTCGCATCAGCCCTGTAACCTCATGGGCTACTGCAGAGTCCCCTGCAGAGGACTACGGGGAACGCCAAAGGCCAATGCAGCGCTCTGCCCACCAAGTCGGGCCCCTTGAAGACCCACGTCATGACTTGTGCTTGCGTCTCGTTGGCCATCCTTGCTGCAAGGAGGGCTGGAAATGTAGCCTCATCACCACTCCAGATAAAACTGGAATCCGATACTAAGGAAGAAAGGGGGAATGGACACTGGTCAGCAAGGAACAGGCTCTGCCACACCGCCCGTGTGCCTTGAGAGAAGTACCGAATGGGGTGGCAGCTGTGTAGTTGCCTCTTCCGGATGCTAACCTCCCTCTGTCTGCAGAGCAGGCGTGGACCTCTTGTGTGCTGCCTCACCTGGGTGTGCTCACCTCATCCAAGAGAACTCCTTGCCTCCTCACACAGGACCAGAGCCTTGCCAAGTTGGTTGGGAGAGATAGTATCTGCCAGATCACTCTCGACTGCAGATGATGCCAGGGAGTAAAACCTCCAACTTCCCCAGAGCCAGGCCTCTCTGGTGCTTTCCTGAGAGAGAACCACGCCGGCTCACCTACAATGACCCAAGCCCAACTCCAACACGCTCCCCAACCCCCACCTCCCCACCCACCTCCAGCGCTCTCCGCCAGGTCTAGAACCAGTGGATATCTCTTGCCAGCAGCCTCTGGCAGCTTTCTCCTAGTCTCCCCGCCCCGTGGGGGAGATCCTCATTCCACGTTTTAATACACACTCACTCCACAGACAGTTCATTGCTTTCTCTCCATTTGTTCTGCTGGGAGCCAAAGCCACTCACCAGTTCAAAGGAAAAAAAAAACTTTTCAATGTTTAAATTTGATATTTAAAATTGTAGATGTAAAACACAGACAAAACTGACTTGGTGTTCTTAGTTTGGCCCAGCTAACACCACAGCTAACTTCTTTTCCTTCCTTCCTTCCTTCCTTCCTTCCTTCCTTCCTTCCTTCCTTCCTTTCTTTCTTCTTTCTTTCTTTCTTTCTTTTTCTTTCTTTCTTTCTTTCTTCTTTCTTTCTTTCTCTCTCTCTTTCTCCTTCTCTCTCTCTTTCTTTCCTTCCTTCCTTCCTTCCTTCCTTCCTTCCTTCCTTCCTTTCTTTCTTTCTTTCCTTCTAGATGGAACCTCACTCTGTCACCCAGGCTGGAGTGCAGTGGCGCAATCTCGGCTCACTGCGACCTCCGCCTCCCAGGTTCAAGCGATTCTCCTGCCTCAGCCTCCCAAGTAGCTGGGATTACAGGCATGTGCCACCATGCCCAGCTAATTTTTGTATTTTTAGTAGAGACAGGGTTTCACCATGTTGGCCAGGGTGGTCTCGATTTCTTGACCTCATGATCTGCCCGCCTCAGGCTCCCAAAGTGCTGGGATTACAGGATTTTTTTTTTTTTTTTGAAATGAAGTCTTGTTCTCTTACCAAGGCTGGAATGCAGTGGCACAATCATAGCTACTGCAGCCTCAACTTCCTGAGCTCAAGTGATCCTCCCATCTTAGCCTCCTGAGTAGCTGGGATGACAGGCACATGCCCAGCTAACTTATTTTACTATTTGTAGATATGGCGTCTCCATATGTTTCCCAGGCTGGTCTTGAACTCTTTCAAGAGACCTTCCCATAACAGCTAACTATTAATATTTAATCAGCTGGCCTCTGGTTTTCTGGTCTCAGATGTCCCAGGTCCACCAGGCTTAGAAGGGAGGCCATTTCTTCCATCAGGCTTGGAAGGGAGGCGGTTAGTTCCCAGGCTCTGCAGCATTTGGCGAATGTCCTTGGACTGCTGCATGGTCACTTTCCTATGAAGAAAACTGAGGCACAGAAAGGCTCTCTACGACAGTTGTCCCTTACCCTGGGCCAAGATATTCAGGGTAGAAGAAGGGCCCAGGTGAAGGGAAGAGAAAGCTGGGGGCAACACAGTGGGCTCCATTTGGGGAACCATTTTCTTTTTCTTTTCTTTTTTTTTAGACGGAGTCTCGCTCTGTCTCCGGGCTGGAGTGCAGTGGTGCAATCTCAGCTCACTGCAACCTCCGACTCCTGGGTTCAAGTGATTCTCCTGCCTCAGCCTCCCGAGTAGCTGGGATTACAGGCATGCGCCACCACACCCAGCTAATTTTTGTATTTTTAGTAGAGATGGGGTTTCACCATGTTGGCCAGGATGGTCTCGATCGCCTGACCTCGTGATCCACCCACCTCGTCCTCCCAAAGTGCTGGGATTACAGGCGTGAGCCACCGCGCCCGGCCTGGGGAACCATTTTCTAAATCTCCCAGGCATGCGTCAGGTCTTACTGTGTCTCCATCTGCACTTTTTCACTTCAACGGCCATCTACATTATTCAATAACTGCACCAATTGTTCGTTATACGAAACTGCATTCTCTTTACAGAGCATCATTTCAAGCAGGCTTCAGTTTTTGCCACGCTTGTTTGACGGGGTCTAAATGTGCCTATTCTTCCTTCCTGTCACTTTCATCCATTCAGTTCTCTCATGAGACTGAACATGTTTGAAGAGAGAGACCCTTAACTATACAATCAGACTAGGATTTCCCTTTAAGATGGAGTTTCCAGGAATGAACTCTGCTTAAAAGCAGAGACCACCTCTTTGGGAATGTGAGGGAGAGAAATAATCAGCTTCAATTTGTGAAGAACCATTTATCATGAATGCTCTGAAACCATGTCTGTTTTAGATCTTTTCTCCAGCATAATTCAGTGATTGCACATATATCATCGAAGCTTCCTAGACTCCTGGGCTCAGCAGATGGCCCCCCAGAGGCCAGCTTTTCCATTTCTCATAGTATACTTAGGCAAAGACAGAGTGTCATTTTAGCACTTTCCTAGTTGGTATTTTTAAAAATATATTTTTGTACTGTTTAATGCTAGGTATTTAATACCTGGGAGTACTTAAAACCCTAATGGCAAGTTGAATTATCACTGCTTTGCAGCCATGGAAGCTAAAAGAAAGCTTAGAAAAAAATGATTTGGTGCATGTGTCATCTTCAGTTCAAGGTGGAAGGAGAAACCTGAGTCCTTTGACCGTATCATATTGACAGCGTGACTTCTTCCTAGCGCATCTGAGTATATTGAAGTTATTATTTAGAAAACTCAGCCAAGTCTCTCTGTTCTCAGATGCTCAACTCTAATGCCTCCAAAGCACAAAATCAGAGTAGCTCAAATAGGGCAGCAGCTTAGTTTGGATAAATCATGTCAGTCCCTGGATGATTACTGTCCTTATAAAGTAGGGGTCACACCCCCCAAAGAGCAGTGCAAAATCTCTTGGAAAATGTACATGGGAGATGCAAAAAAGAATGCATCTGCAGTCATCTCTTTATATCTATGTGGAGATTATCTGTTTAACAAGCATTAAATGAGAGGTTCATCTCTTTTTTTTTTTTTTTTTTTTGACAGAGTCTCATTCTACAGTCCAGGAATGCAGTGGTGTGATCACAGCTTGCTGCAACCTCTACCTCCTGGGCCAAAGTTGTCCTCCCATCTCAATCTCCTGAGTAGCTGGGACTGCAAGCACACAGTACTAGGTCTGTTTTTTTGTTTTTTTGTTTCTTTGTAGAGATAAGGTCTCACTGTATTGCCCAGGCTTGTCTTGAACCCCCGGGTTCAAGCTCTCTGTGTGTCTCAGCCTCCCAAAGTGCTGGTATTACAGGTGTGAGCCACCATGCCCAGCCTGCATTGTGTTTTGTCTTGGGTTCACAGTGTAGGGTTCACATTCGGACCACTGGTGCAGAAGAGGGTAAATTTAAACCCCTTCAAGTCACAAACTTGCAGGTATACGTGCTAAGTGAATAAAAGGAGGGAGTTCAAGTGGCTCACAACTATAATCCCAGCACTTCGGGAAGCCGAGGTGAAAGATCGCTTAAGGCCAGGAATTCAAGATAGCCTGGGCAACATCTCAAGATCCAATCTCTACAAAAAATCTAAAAAACTTTTTAAAGGTGAGGGCAGTGGTAAACAGTATAATACACTGATTTTGTATTTAAAAAGGAAAAAGGAATAGGGATACACATATACCTACTTATTTGCATTGTATCCATGATGACTACATCTGAAGGAATGCACCAGAAGCTGGAAACATTGTTCCTAGAAGTGGAAGATGGGTGATGGGAGGAAGGAGTAGGAGGGAGGATTTCTACTTTATATCGTTGGTACCATTTTAAACTTTAAACCATGAGAACGTATTACCTATTCACCAAAGAATCAATACAATTTGATGTAAAACATCATGCAACCTGTTCCATGGCAGGGTCAGTGGCTCCAGGTCCTGGGAGTAGGAGAGCAGTAGGTTGGAAAGGGTTGTTTTAGAACCTGTCTCAGCCAGCCTGGCTGAGAGTTGTGACATCCTTTGACCTCAGACTGTGCTCCTCCTGCTACCCAGAGTGTGGCCAGGAGTCACAAGCTCATGTTATTTCTTCAAGCAAATGATGATGTACATCGGTTGCTGGCTGGCATATCGTGCTTTCCCAGCAAAGCAACAAGAATGCTTATGTCCCTGTCTGGGATCTCACTGAAGAGGGTTGCAGACCAAACAGAGGGAACCCCAGAAGCTGGTCATGATGGGCTGGGAAAGTATGTGCTGTAAGGGAGGTCTGAAGCCGGGAGACCAGAGGGCTCGAGGAGCCAGGAGCCGTGTTTCCAGCCATCTGAAGGGAAACCAGAAGACAGGCTAGATGAGAGCTGGGTGGACCTGTGTCCTGGGCAACCTGCAGACTTCCCAGAGCCCCTTTCCTCATCCGCAACATGGGACAGTAATATCCACAGCAAAGGTCTCTCTGGAGTTTTCTGGTTTACGACTTAATGCATGCAAGATGTCTAGCACTTACTAGGCACCCTGCAGAGGTTTCTGAGTCCCATCCCCACCCCTAATCATTCCTGTCAAACCACTAAATTTGTTCAGAGTGGCCCCAGTGTGTGAAAGCTGCAGGAAAAGAGACTTGGGCTCCTATTAGAAAAGACTTTCCTATAGACAGAACCATTCAAAGGTGGAGCAATTCTGTTCTGATGGGCATTTTTCAGGTAACAGTGCTTTATTGGAAGAAACTCAAGGCTCTTTTTTCTGGGTCTCTAAACTCATGACAAACGAAGTAGGATCAAAGACCCCTGGGCCCCATCTCAGACATGGCCCTTCGTGGCCCCTTCCACCTCACTCGCCTCTCCATTCCTGTCCCTCCTCCAGCCAGCCTGTGCAGCTCCCAGAAAGGCTCAATTAAGAAGGCATTTCCAGACCTCGCTGCGGCTGGCACCACCACATTTTTTGCATTCTCTGCCTCTGCGGCTCCTGGAGGCATGAGGTGTGTATCTGCCTGTGTGTGTGTCTCTTATCTACCTCAGGAGAAAAGGACACGAGTCTTGTGACTCAGCCTAAGAGCAATTTCCTCCTTTGACTTCACATTTCCAATTGGAGGGACCCTGGGTTCCAGCGATAACCGTGAGAGTGTCTTCTTAGAGCGAATGTCCTTAATTGTGCTCTGACTTTCCAGGGCTTCTGAGCAGGTGCTGTTGGGAGTCCTTGAGAACTCCAGAATAAGTGAGGTCTGATCCATGCTCCAAACGCAACTACAGTCAAATAGAGGGGATACACACTTATGTTCGGTGTAACTCTCACACCAAACGAACCATGACAAATGCCACAGGGAGCTAAGTGCCATAAAGAATGATTGTAAATGTTAGATATAATAATGGCAAGTGGTTATGTTAAAGGGAAAGCAGTCCTTCTCAGTCAGAGATGCATGCAGATGTCTAGGTTGTTTTAAAATACTCTAGGGAAAGCCAGGCCCGGTGGCTCATGCCTGTAATCCCAGCACTTTGAAAGTCCAAAGCAGGCGGATCACCTGAGGTCAGGAGTTCGAGACCAGCCTGGCAAACATGGAGAAACCCTGTCTCTACTAAAAATACAAAAATTAACTAGGCAGGGTGGCGGGAGCCTGTAATCCCAGCTACTCAGGAGGCTGAGACAGGAGAATCACTTGAATCTGGGAGGTGGAGGTTGCTGTGAGCCAAGTTCACACCACTGTACTCCAGCCTGGGCGGCAGAGCAAGACTCTATCTCAAAATAAATAAATAAATAAGTAACGCTAGGGAAAAACATCTTAAGTGTTTTGGGGTGAGATGATATGATGTCTGGGGTTTGATTTAAAACATTCCAGAAAAAAGGTTGGAGAATAGATGAACAATTTGGCAAAACATTGATAATTGTCATTATTAAAGCTGGGCGTGGGTATAAGAGAGTTTGTTATATCATATTCTCTATTTTTGTATATGCTTGGAAAATTCCAGAATAAAAAGTTAAAAGGAAATGAATGGTTAATGCTGACAGGAGGTGTGTGGGTCAGGGACAGCTTCACACAGTAGGTGAGGTTGAAACTGGGCTTAGAAGATGAGTCAGAGATTGGAAGTGGGAGGGATAGACATGATTTGGAAGCTCTTGTTGGCTTTATTTTTTGTCTGTAAATCCTTCTGTTCTCCTGGGTTTTCATAGCAGTGAAAGCATTTCCCCCTCCAGGGTGTGACCTGCCCTTGTTTCAGACACCCCTTTGGATGGGGCCTCTCAGTGAGGCCTTCTTTGGCTGGCAGAGCTGGAGCTGTCGTGGCCCTGACCAGGTCTGCAGCCCCCACCCCGCTTCCTTCCTCCTCTCTCCCCCTCCATGCCCCGTCTGGGGAAAATTATCCCAGCTCCAAGTAGTAAATTTAAGGCCTTGGCAGCCCTCCCACAGATGACTCCCAAATTATCCCATTCCAAGGGTGGGAGTGGGGAGGCCAGAAGTTCAGGCCCGAGGCATTCACCCAGTCGTTTGAGAGCTCCGGGCGCCATCTGCTGACGGCACCCGGAGCTCCAGCTTGGAATGAAGGCAGGGGGTGTGCTGGAATTCACCAACTCCAGAACAAGGCCGGTCTCAGATCTCTGAGAATGAAGGGGATGCACTGTTTGACAGACACCAGGCAGAAAAGGCGAAGAAAGAGGACGTGTGTGCGTGTGCCTATGTGTGTGCCCGAGTCTGCGTTTGTGGATTTATGCATTTTATGCATGGCGACTGGCTGCTGGGCTGGGGGTGTTTTGGAGGGTGTGTTGGGATGGTCTGCATGCTTCTGTCATTGTTCCTTAGGGTGAGTATGTGGGCCGTCTCCAGAGTAAAAAGACAGTAAATAAGAGGTAATCAGACCCAGCTGTATCCCTCCGAGGGAAGTCTCCAGATGTCCTCCCATCGTTAATCCTCAGCCCAAACATGGGTGATAGGTGACTCGGTTGATTGCATTTTCAGCTGGGGAAAATGAGGCATGTGGCATAACCAGAGCCCTTAGTGAGAAGACTGGCTTCACCACAAGCATCAAATAACCTGGAGGCAAAGACCCTGGAGGTCATTGAGTTCAACCTTCTTACTTTGCAGAGAAGGAAGCATGAGTTCAATGAAGGGGAAAGCAAAAGAGATCCTATTAGATTATCCTTCAAGTCCTTCTCAGCCATGAGTTCTGATGGGCAATTCCGCAACTCACCAAGCCCAATATTTGTGCCAGGAGGGTCCTGGGCAGCTGCTCTCCTGCCTTGCCCCATCTCTGCTTTACCTCTTCTCTATTTTCTCTCCTGAAAGAATTTCCTGGCCCATAAATCCTGAGAGATTTATTATTTCCTGAGGCATCCCTTAGTTGGAAAATGTAGCTTTACAGTCGCCGACTCAGGACCACACTGGGGTCCCAGCTGTTAGCGTGGGAGCACAATTTCTCCTGCATGGTAGTGGGGAGGACGCCAGCCTTCCACCCATCGCAGAGGGGCCACCAACATCACTAGTTACATTTCCTGGCTTCTAACTAAAGCTGCTGAAACACCAGCTCAGAAGTTTCTCTCAGCAAGTTGTAAGAGCAGCCACAAAGTCTAAGAAGAACCAAAGAGCTTGGTTTCTCTCCTCGCCAGCTGGAAGCAGGGGACCTGGGATCTTCCTGTCATCACGATTATTTCTTCTCTCTAAAATGACTGCTTCTGACTCTAGTCTTTTCCCCTCCAATGTGAAAAAAAAAAAATTCCTAAAGCACAGCTCACCTCAAAATCCTGCAGGCAACACCTCCTTTTTTCATATAGGATAAGTCCAGATACTTTTATGGGTTCTTCAAGCACCTCAAACCATGACCCCACATCCCTCCAACACCTTCTCTTCATATTTTCCTATGTGCACTGAGTTCCGGCCACACTGGCCCCTTACCTGTTTCTAGTTCCACCCCCAAGGCCGTTCTGCATCTGCATTGACCATACTGTCACTCACAGCTCCCTCAACCTCAAATGCTCCTTTCTCTGTCTCTAAATGTTGAGATCCCATTTCCCAAAGACCTATCTCAAATGCCATCCTTTCCTGGAAGCCTTTAGGGACCTCCTCCCTCCAAACTAAACAATCCCTGTTGAGTCTGCTGGTGTTGTATTCGGCTTGTACCTTTTCACATTCTTCTAGGCTGCCTTATTTTACAGCTCCTTCTTCCCATTGACTATTCCCCCACTCAGATTCTGAGACCCTGGAGTGCAGCGGCAGTGTCTACAGCATCTTCCTCTTTCCTTTCATCACCCTCCTTCCTCCCAAAGATCCAGCAGTGAGGACAGTTCCCAGCAATGAGGACATTCTCAGGGGATAGTGGTAGAATTGAATTTCCAAGTAATTTATAAGCGATATTCACGTAATCTAATATTTTGACTTTTCCAATCTCTGCTCTCCTCCCTTAGGGCAAATTAACCCAGAAGAGTACTTCAGAGAACACAGACAAACTGCCGTGCAGTGAAGAGAATGTGGCAGGAAGCCCTGGTATTCTAGAAGAAGCTCTGCCCACTCCAGACAGGATCCGCACGCCTAGTGCCATGTCTATCTCCAAGGAGATCACATTCTAGAGCCAAGGACCGCCACTGAGAAGAAAGTAACGTGAGCCGTCAGAATGCATACCTGGAGCGCTCCAGGAAGGAAATCTCAGCCCCGGCATCCTCCATGGTCACACGGAGAGGGCGGGTGTCCTTGTAGCTTTGGCCCTGAGATGGGAGCTAGAGCTGGACACAGGGTTCTAGTCCTGGCTTTGCTGTAAACAGCTCCCAGACCTGGAGCAAGTGCCTTACCTGTCTGTGTAATGTGGGAGCTGATGTGGATCATCTTTAAGCCCTCTGCAAGATGGACACGCTGGGATCATAATAAGGACACATGCCAGTCAGGCCAGGTTCTTCATTTGAAAACCTTTATACATTTTTTTCTCTTCAGCCTTAATAAAATTAACTCACCTAGCATTGTATATATGTCAAGCAGTTTTGATCATCCAAATTTTTTATTGTTGGCTGACCTCTAGCCAACAATTCATTTATTTTCTGACCTTTTAAGATGTTTCGTAGCTGCCATTTCATGTATCTGAAAAATGAGATGTGAAAAGAATACACATATTTAAGAACAAAATTTTGTTTCTTTTAAATAATTTTAATATTTTTTTCTAAGAATGATACACATTCATTTTAAGTAAATTTCCAAGAATGATACACACTTGTATTTTTTCTAAGAATGATACACCTTCATTTTCTGTATTGGAAATACAGAAAATTATAAAAAAGACAAATATCTCCTAAAACCCTACTACCTAAAGATAGATATTAACAGTTTGGTGTAGATCCCCTCAGATCTCTTTCTAGGCATATTTTTTGGATATATTTTTGCAAAACTATTATCCTGTGTGAAGTCTTGTTTAAAAGCCCTGGATTTTTGCAAAACAAAATATTACGAATGTCTTTCCATGACTATACTATTCTATGGTGTTATTTTTAATGGTTTCATAGGATTGTGTCATATAGATATACTATATTTTATTTAACCAGTCTTTTGTAATCTCATAAATACCTTATTTTCATGTGTACATCTAATTATCTTCTTGGGTTATGTTCCTAAAAATAGATTTGCCCAAAGCGATAGACTTTCTCTTTCACGCAGTCTGCCCCTGGCATTCTCAGCACGTTGAATGATGGAATGTCAAAACCGGAAGGGACCTTAGACATGAGATTTACAGATTGTTTAACAGATGGGAGAGCAGAGGTCCGAAAGGGCAAGTGCCTTTCCGCAGTTCCCAAGGGAGTTGGCGGCAGAGTCAGAGCAGAGTCCCTGCTCCCTGCCCAGCAAACTTCTCCACAATTCTCTGCCTCCGTTAAAACACAGGGTGCTGGACTGCATCAACTTGAAGCATCCTTTGCAGGGTTTTAAACGTACCTGCAGCAAACCTGGGCATTTACTGAGCTGGCTTCTATTCCAGGTAAATATCTAGGCTAAATGCCTGTGCTGAATATGACCTGAATCAGCTAGGACACCAACAGTTCACTATCCCAACCAACAGAAATCCCCTCCTAGGGTTAAGATTTCATTTTTTGATTTGAGGGGTAGGACTGAGATGCTGAAAAGTAGTTGCACAGACTGGGCCTTCTGTAAGATGAGGACTGGTGTGAAGTGGCTTGAAGCCTTTGGGATTTAAATGTTCTCATTAAAAGGAGAGACAGGTCTGATGTTTGAATCCCCCAGGGTGGGTAGGGCAAGCCCCCACCTTGGCTATGGCCTCTCAGACACCAGAGCCAAATAATGCATTCTGTGCTAGGTAAGTTCCCTACAGCTCCAGAGAAACCTTCCATGGGGAATGGGGGGTGGGGCTGGGGAGGCCCTGTTTATGCTAACGAGGCACTAAATTAATGCATTACATGCCTCATTTAGCACGACTGTGCAAAATCTAAAAGTACTAATAAATTTTCCTTCTGGGGTCAAGAATCATAAAAGGATAGATGATCAAGCATTAATTAGCAGGGAAATTAAAGCTTGACGGTTTCTGTTCTATCCCTGTCTTCTCTCAAACGGCACAATTTGTTCTAAATGCCTTTTTGAAAAGTAGTCGTTCTCAGAAAAAAAAAAAATGTGACATCAGCCAGGGGAAGGGCTTCCTGTCCTCTGCGGCTGTCAGGGTGAGAGGATTTGCATAGAGGTGACTTTTCTAGAAGATCCGCACTGGGGTATCAAATGAGAAGAATCTTGCCTTCTTTTATTGACATTTTTTTCTAATAGCTTACACTAGCCATAACTTGTAGAAAAGGACATTCAACCACTGCAGAGTCTCAATGACATCTGAATTTTGCCAGATGCTGCAAAACAGAGACCACTGAAATCTTTGTCTTCATCTATAGTCTTCCGTTTGAATTTGCCAGTGACTACTGAGGACAAATCTCTATAAACACTCATTGCTCCTTCTCCCCGCCTTTTTTTTAAGGATATGTATTTATGTATTACAGAAAATTGGTTGCGAGTTTTAACACAGTTCTTAACTGCAAGTCTAAAACCTGCTGGAGACCAGTCTGCTAGTTCCCATCCCTCAGTGTGCCTGCTGGGTATAAAGTGGGATACTTGGTTAAGAAACAAAGTGGTGAGGATCATAAAACTACCTATTAGGTACTACGCTTAGTACCTGGATGCGAAACAACAGGTACTATGCTTAGTGCCTGGATACAAAACAACAGGTACTATGCTTAGTACCTGGATGCAAAACAATTTGTACAGCAAACCCCTGAGACACACAAGTTACCTACATAACAAACCTGCACATATATCCCTAAACCTGAAATAAATTTTTTTTAAGTGGTGTGCTGAACAACACTATAAATGTAACTTTCTAGAATAATAAGTCTCCCTCCTCTCTTCCCCAGGCCTGGGCTCTGGCGGGAGGGGGAGGGGAAGGTGAGTGTCTCCAGAGACTGAGGAAGGGCTGCCCCTGAGACTTCCCATCAACCCTGGATCCTCCCAGGCATCTGCCAATAAACGTAAACAAAAGCCCAGTGGAAGGCTCAGCTCCTTTGAATCCTCACGTGTTTCGGTCATGGCTTTGGAGGTATAAATACACCCAGATGTTTTAAACTTCTCCCCTGTTGTATCTAATCACCAGAACAACTGGGGCTCTTGCGCCCCTCCTCCCTCTCCTGCGGGGAAATGCAGAGAGCCTAATTAAAAGGGCTTTCCTTTGTTTCCCTAATAGCTCTCAGCCTTGGGGAGCCCAGAGCATTTGGTCAGCAAGAGAGACTCTAACATTTAAGGCCCCACATGTGAGAATGCCTGCACCAGTACGTTCAGATGCAGATTAACCCCCATAGGGAGCTGAGGGGCTAGAATCTGAGATGCATCGAGACCATAGTTATGGGGGAGCATCACCTTGCATGACTCTGCAGTGAGCCAGGGAGTGGCAGTTGGAGGATGGACCCTTCCGAGGTCAAAGGCCAGTTTTCTAACAGCAGTGACAGGAGCGGCTGCTGGCTGCTAATTCATTATAAATAGTCCCATTCTCTCCTTTCCAAGGGGCTTGACACGAGCATCCTCCTCTGGCCTCTTCTCTCCAACCTTCAGCCACCACCCAGTTCTGGCCCTGCGATAGCTTGAATTAGTCTCTGTCCCTTCAATCTCCATTGCTCATTGGAATCAATCACTGTAAGCCCAATGCATTCTCCACATTACGGCACAGCTGCTCTTCCCAAGACACAGACCTTGTCATTCCCTCGCTTGAAATCCTTTCCCAGTTCTTTCTTGACTCTAGAATAAAGCTGCAAACCTGCAACCTTCTAGGCTTAGCTTCACCTTTCCCCCTGTGCTCCTGCTGGATGTCTCGCTTTTCCTGAGCACGATTTGCCTTGTTCTTGCTGTGCCTTCCATTTGCAAAGCACCTCCCACAGTCGGGCCAGGAGAAATCCAACCCTCCCTTCAAAACCAAATCATGGACATCTCTGTGGTTCATCCTTCCTGGACCTCTGTAGGCAGAGTCGGTCCCGATTCCCCATGTCCCATTCTGTTGAAATGATCTCTGTATGTATTTTTCCTCCAGACTGGGAGCCCTATGCAAAGAAGTGGTCTGTCTTTTCCATTCTCATGCCTCCTCTCCCGGACACAGTGTCATTACCCCTGTAAGTATTGTACAGGATAGCAGTGACATCATATTTTCTAATTTAACAGGAATTTTCTGGGCCGCTGAAGGCAACCCTTAACGTCAGACATTAGACCTGTTTCCCAGAGTACTGCTAGTTAAATGTTAACCTGCAGTGTCCACCAGGCCATCCATGAGGGACCCTCCGCTCTAGCTTGGTGCCTAGCAGGGCATGAGATCCCTTAAGCCCAGACGGCTGCTGGGGCATACACCTCCCTCCTCTCAGCATTCCCTTCCAGTCAGAGGATATTTGCAGAACAGGCCAAAACTGAGCATTTTGAGTAGGGCCAAGGAACACCCTAGCTCAGAATGGATGTGGACAGAAAAACATACTGCCTGGACCCCATCTCAAGCCAGTGAATCACCATCTCTGGGATGGGGCCCAGGCCTGAGTGTTTGCAAGCTTCCAATGTACAGACAAAATTGAAAATCACTACTTTAGTCCAAAATAGGGGGACCCTTGCAACCCACTTGTGAACTCTCAAGAACATAAACAAAGCAGCCTCTCCTGAAGAGTTCTGCGAAATGCCACCCTTTCCCCACTATTCGAAGGAGTCAAACAGAGTGGGTTTAGGTGGTTTCATTATCCAAAATGGGCTGACTCCTTGGTCATAAAGTGGCAGACAGAGAAATGCAGAGGGGAAACACTGGGGCTACTCAAAACCACACAGGACCTGGGATCAAAGGACTGGGGTGCAAACTCACCCCAGCCACTTACTGACTTTTTGGCCAAATCTGAGTGTTGTTTTCCTTATCTATGAAATCCATTTAGCAATAGTTCCTACCACAATTTATGTGGTGAAGATTGGATGAGAGCTGTGAGGGCATTCTGTAAATGATAAAGCTGTTAACTGTTGTTATTTTTGGTGCTATTATTAAACATTTCTTAGTGGATGGGAAATAGGGCCCCTGCCTTACTCATTTCTGCATGCTTCATGCTGGACATCTGTGCCTGGCTCATGTCCTACATAGAGTGTGGATTGAGTATATGAATGAATAAATGAAGTAATGAAGTTAGGAGTGAGTGAATGAATGAAAGGATGAATGAACACTGAAGTTCCATGTCCAAAATCCACATGCCACAGTTCCCAAAGGAAAAAAAAAATGCTTATCCCCTGCCTTCCTGCTAAGCCTTCAGCAGACACGACCCACACATGGGGTAACTTGACAGAGAAGCAGACATCTGGGGGCCAGAACCACTGTTACAAAAACCACCCTGGAGCTAATCTCGAGGCTCAGGAAATGTCCATAACTTTGCAATTTCTGCTTTTGTCCTCATAAGCCTCCCTTCTACGATGCTGCTAACACCAGGCAGGGGCTGGCCACGGCCAAATGGACAAGAACAGGGGTCGGAGCAAGGAGCATGGGGAAAGTGGAGCCCCATCCACTCTACCCTCGTGCCCAGAAGTGAGAAAGCAGTCCTACCTCCCACAGCACCGGCCCATGGGCAGAGGCCACCAAATAGAGTTGGGGCAGAGCTGCTGGAGTCTGGGAAAAAGACCCAGATTCAAGTCCAGGGGCCACTGCTTCTCTTCTGTGCGGTCTTGGGTAAGTCACTCAATCTTTTTGTAAAAAGGGGCTAACAACTCCTTTATCACAGAGCTGAGAAGAGTACAGAAAATACTTTTGGAAACTCCTAGCACAATGCTTGGCTTTAAATAGTCCCTTGTTCATTTTTTCAACAAAATTGGTTTATTATGACTTACCAAGTCCCCGACACTATTTCAGGACACAGGGCATTCAATAAATCCTTCCCCCCTTGTGTCTTTTCTTCCTCCCTTTCTTTTTCTCAGAGTAGGAAGAGAACGTGGTATCATTTGGTTTAAACGTAAAGGTGTGAATCAGTGTAACTGTGACTGTTGTTTATAAGAGAGCTTCTCCCCCATGATGTGAGACAGAAAAGATGCAGAGAAGATGTACAAATACACACTTAATACCACGGACAGAAAAGCACGCCTATCTTTCAGACAATTTCTCTCAACAGGCTGGAAAAGGGCAAATTATATCAAAACCTCTGATTGGAGAGGCCAGCACTTCCCCAGAAGAGAGGGGGCCAGATGTGTCCAGACAGTCTAGGAGGGCTGGGGGAATTTGAGGTGCTCCTCCCTGCTCCCGGTTATCTCCCATTTCCTTTGGGAGCCCCGGAGACACGGCCTTCCCAAAGCAGCCTCCGAGGTGGCCTGTGAAGCTTTTGTCCTTGGCAGCAGAGAAATTTCTGCTTCAGTGGTTTCAAACAAGGCTTGCATTAACTCCGGGCCTGTGAAGAGAGCACGTGCAACAAAACCCAACACCGTGTCCCGGCCCTCAGACAAGCACAGAAACAAATGGTGCAGGAATTTTTCAGAATAGAATCATCCGCTCAATGTCACTGCATACATTTACCTACCTCAGTGCCTATTCAGGGGCCCCTTTAAAGGGTGATATCAATAGAGATGGATCAGACAACATCTCTATGGCAACACCTCCACGGAAAAATGATGGCGGCCACAGCAAGACGAGCGATGACTATTTTTTTTAAATATACACAAATACAGCACTACGCACCCCAAAGCGCCCTTTGGCTCCCAGGACACAGGGCTGTGTTTAAGACAACAGCATAGGAGCTCATGACAAGACTAATTAGGAGCACAAGGGGAGTATGCAGGCTCAGGACCGAGAGTTTGACAATGAATTAAGACCTGGGGCTTTGGGATACTGAAATTTGTCAACAAAATTAACATTCCCTTTCCTGGAAACTCTCAAGCTGAAGGAGTTTACGAGGACCTTATTTTAAGTGTCCAACTTGGAGGGAATTATCAGAGAGAGAGAGCGAGAGACGGTAAAAACAAACAGTAGCCGCCATCAGCCCCTTCAACAGCACTGTAAACCTAGCCAAGGATGGGTTCCCGCCCACTGCTTCTCACAGCCGTTCTCCTCTGATGCCTTCGCAGATCGGAATTTGGGGAAGGAGTGGCCTCCATGACCTCAACATCAGAAGCCTAGAGGGTCTTTGTGGCTTAAAGGGCTGTGGTAAGAGAAAGCCTAAAATAATACTTATATTAGGAACAACCAACACCACGATAAGAAGAAGAACAGAAAAGGAAGACGTGGGTTCCATTTACATAGGTACTTTCAGGAGGTCTTGTGTACTGAACGCTTTAGAAAGAAATTGGTCACTGTCTCAGCAAAGCAATTTTTCCACTTGTTGGAAAGGATGATAAAAGGAGAACCGTCCCTTCATCCGTTGCATTGTGTGTCACAGCACAGAAATGGGAGGGAAACAGGCCCAAGGTCTGGGAGGCTGCTCATATTTCTCCACTTACTTTTCCCGTGACCTTAGGCACGTCATTAACCTTGCTTGCCTCTCCCGCTCCCTCCAGACACGTGAAGTACTGGCTGCCGATTGTAGAGGAGAGATTCCTGGGCAAGTGCAGAGTTATATAGAGTGCCCTTTCTACCTGACACACGAAAGAAATGAGCTGTAACAGACGCCAGCGGCAGGTGCAGGACCTGTGAGCTTCACTCACTGTGCCCCAGTGTTTGGGTTCCTGCGCTTTGAACCGCCTTACTTTAAGAAGCCTTGTCATTGGAAAATTGACCGCAGCTGATGGCTTCTGTCATTTGTGCTGTTGTTTGGAGGGCAGGGCTCTGCGTCGCTTTGTCAGGCCGCACAGGGAATGCGCCACCTCCGGCCCGCACTGTCTGCCTACCCAGACCCACAAGGCTCCTCAAAGCCTCCTCACCAAGGGCTGACTCTTTTGCCTTGTTCTTTCTTTTTCTTTCTGTTTATTCTTTCAAAACATGTACTCCTTTTAGGCAGTTGCGAGAACTTCTACAATAATCTGTGTTCTAAATTTTAGGAGCCACAATAAAAACCTCTCTTTTTTTCCTGCATTGAGACATTCTTAAAGTTAAACACATACAAATTAGATGATTAAAATAATTCCATTTTCTAGGATCTATAATTCAAAACAAATACCTCTTACAGAATTTTTAAATTCTATTAACCTAGTTAAAATACCTATTTTATATCCATTTGAGATATAACAAATATTAATTTCACTAATTTATATTGGTTTCTCTATCTCACTAATATATATTAGTTAAAATGTCTGAAAGGGCTACGAAAAAGCATGAATAAAGACTCAAAACATTTCATTCAATTTAAGAAAACAACATTACATTCAGAAGCAATTAATTCAATTTTGCTTACTCCATACATTTTCATTTTATTTTAATCAATTATCTCTCCAACATTATTGCAATATAATGCTGTAATAAACTATATTTGTTTTAAATAGAAGATATTACATTTTCTAAAATCATGAGTTTTAGCTTTCATAATGTTATTTTTTTCAAGCAAAATCAAACTTTTTCCCATTCTTCCTGTGACAGGAGTCAGTTTCAGCCCACTAAAAAGAGATATATGGCTGTTCGGTTCATATCAATTGATGGTAAACACATGTTGAAAGTCCTGTTTTTCAAGCTTGCATTTTGTTCATTGAACTGATGACAACTATCATTTCCACAGGGTTTAGCACTTCACAATATCAGCTGTACATTTTGAGCATGGCAAAAGAATTGATTGAGCTTCCATTTATTTTTTGCCTTCAAGGATATGTATGTAATCCACAAATACAATTCACAATACAGTTAAGAGTTGATGTGGGCCGGGCGCTGTGGCTCATGCCTGTAATTCTAGCACTTTGGGAGGCCGAGGCGGGCGGATCACCTGAGGTTGGCAGTTTGAGACCAGCCTGGCCAATATGGCGAAACCCCGTCTCTACTAAAAATACAAAAAAATTAGCCAGGTGTGGTGCCGGGTGGCTGTAATTCCAGCTACTCAGGAGGCGGAGGCAGGAGAATCGCTTGAACCCGGGAGGTGGAGTTTGCAGTGAGCCGAGATCATGCCACTGCACTCCTGCCTGGGCAACAAGAGCAAAACTCCGCCTCAAAAAAAAAAAAAAAAAAAAAAAAAAAGAGTTGATGTATACAGTGGCTCTACCATGCTTGTTGCCCTGAGCAGAGTTTTTAACATGAAAACAGTTAGGGCAGCCTGCTACTACTAAGAAGCAGAGGATCTAGAAAGAAGAGGCCATCTACTGCCAATCCTTGGCTCTGATTGGAGGGAAGCAGGAGGCCCCTTGCCCCTCTCCCTCTGCTGCCAACCAGAAAATGAAAGGATCATCACTTTCTGAGGTCACACCAAAAAAGACAAAATGTGCAAGCACCACCACGTCCTCTGGGCACACTCTATCTTGTTACAGCTCTTTCGAGGTTCTTGGTGAACCCCATGAGCACATTTTCAATGTAAAAAGAAAATCACACAATGAAGTTAGGATCAGACACTTAAGGCAGGTATTGTGTACTGATTTGCTAACAACTGGGGACATGTTCATGGACTTGTTGGTTTTATAGTGACATTTGCCCCCACTTCAGGGTATGTGGGTGTGTTGAGGGAGCAGTGGGGAGGTGTTTCCTCACCCTTCTGTCTTAATATAGCCTCATCAAAATAGCTCGGTGTGTTAGGTGTTTCTTACATTGCTATAAAGAAACACCTGAGACTGGGTAATTTATAAAGAAGATATTTAATTGGTTCATGATTCTGCAGGCTCTTCAGGCAGCATAGTGCTGGCATCCGCCTGGCTTCCAGGGAGGCCTCAGGAAGCTTACTCTCATGGTGGAACGCAAAGGGGAAGCAGACACATCACATGGTGAAAGCAGGGGCAGGTTGTTGGGTGGGAGGGGCCTGCCACACACTTACACAACCAGATCTCAAGATTACTCACTCAGTTAGGCCGGGCGCGGTGGCTCACGCCTGTAATCCCAGCACTTTGGGAGGCCGAGGCGGGTGGATCACGAGGTCGGGAGATCGAGACCATCCTGGCTAACATGGTGAAACCCCGTGTCTACTAAAAAAATACAAAAAATTAGCTGGGCGTGGTGGCGGGCGCCTGTAGTCCCAGCTACTCAGGAGGCTGAGGCAGGAGAATGGCGTGAACCTGGGAGGCAGAGCTTGCAGTGAGCCAAGACTGTGCCACTGCACTCCAGCCTGTGTGACAGAGCAAGACTCTGTCTCCAAAAAAAAAAAAAAGAAAAAGATTACTCACTCAGTATTGTGAAGACAGCACCAAGCCGTGAGGGATCCACCCCTAGGATCAAAACACCTCCCACCAGGCCCCACCTCCAGCACTGGGGATTACAATTTATCGTGAGGTTTGGATGGGGACAAATATCTGAACTCTATCACTAGGCTAGAACTTGGAGCTCATCAACCTCATTTTGCAGATAGAAAAACTGAGGTCCAGAGGGGGTTATGCTTTGCCCAAGTTCATGCAGTTGGTGGGACTAGAAAGGAACCAGGTGTGCGGGCTGCACCAGATTATGTTTTGTTTTTTGGATTAACTCCACGGTCTTCACCATGGGCTGTATTAGATCCCTGTGCCGTACTTTTCACACCCGGGCTTCTGCTTCAAGTCACAGCCTATCTCAGCTTACTGAGATTTTTAAAATCCATTTTTGCTCCTTGTAACATCCTGCTGACCTAGCCAGAGAACTGTGAAGGTCAAATGAATAATGGATGAGAATGTGATTTGTAAGGTGATAGCTGATGTGTACTTGTGAATCACTATTACTCCAGCTCTCCCTTGGGCCCCGATCACAAGATTCAATAGCAGCCTCTCCCCATACAGCTGATGATGCTGACTCAACTCTACAGCCCCCAGGAGCCAGAAACAAAGATAAGTTGCATCTGAGGGGAGTCCCAGGCTTCTCCATGTGGGCAATTGGAAGCCAGAAGCATTTCAGTGCAGCCAAAAGAGAGAGAAAAAAAGAGCACTTATTTTTGCTTGTTTTCTTCTCAATTATCAAGTAATAGCTACCACAGTAATCCCCCCTGCATCCCCTGGGGGCTGTGGAATGGGCAAGGGAGGCTCAAGGATGGGTAAGGGCTGGGATGTCTATTGCAGATTGTCTGCTTTTTGAGGATATTTTGACATAGTGACATGAGAGCAGCTGGGTCCAAATGGCTGGTTCACAGCTCACAGCTCAGCTCACAGCTCACAGCTCATGGCACTTTCTTTTTTGACAGGATCTTACTCTGTTGACCATGCTGGAGTGCAGTGGTGTGGTCTTGGCTCACTGCAGCCTCAACCTCCTGGGCTCAAGTGATCCTCCCACTTCAGCCTCCTGAGTAGCTGGGACCATAGGCGTGCACTGTCATGCCTGCTAATTTTAAGAAATTTGTTTGTAGAGACAGGGTCCTGCTATGTTGTCCAGGCTGCTTGAAGCTTTGTTCTGAGAGCAGGCAGTGGCCCAGGGCCCAGAGGACAAGCCAGTTCATCTCTCTAAGCCCCTGGCTTGCTGGGCTTCCAGGCACTAAGTTATATCTCTTATACACAGGACACACTGAGGTGGCTAGAATAAGTCAGGAGATGCATGCAGCTACTAGAATAAGAAATGACAAAAAGTGTTAAGAGGAAAGGCCAACTAAGTGAGAAGTTTCTGAACTGAGGCCTGTGTCTGTCCCTTGACCAGACACTCACGGAACCTTGGAAGCTCTCCTTTCTGGGCCTCTAAAGATGGAGATAATAATCCCAGCTCTGCCATACTCCCAGAGCTGCTGTGAAATAAGTGGGAGAGGTGATATCTGGAATCATTAGATGAGAAGAGAGTTTCATTTTCTTTCTAACAAGCATTTGCTGCATTTTTTCTGTGTGCCAGGTACTGTGAGGACTTAGAGGACACAGAGATAAGTGAGACAACCCCCCTGTCCAGGAAGAGCTGTCAGCGTAAGAAATGCCAAGCACAGGTGGTATGGGCTGCAGCAGAGGCACAGCCCACGTGCTCTTGGGTCTAGGAGTTTACCTACAGAGGGGGACTCTTTGGAGCTCAGGCATGAGTGTATTATTTCACACCTACAGATGGAGCACTTAGAAAAAGCAGTTCAGTGGGACCGGAGGAGTCAGGGAAGGCCTCGGGGTTGGGGGGAGACGGGAGGTGGCTATTCCATTTGCAGTACTGATTTTATGACCACTCCAAAAATCGTTACTCATTCGATCCTTAAAAAAGTAGATTCTGTGATTATCTTCATTCTACCAATAAGGACACTGAGGCACACAGAAGTTAAGATACCTGCCCACCCCGAGTGAGCCAGCAAATGGCAGGGTTGGGATTCCAACCCGGGCAGCCTGGCTCTAAATCAGCCATAAAAAAGGGAAGCGGGTATAATTAGAAGAATCATGGGGCGCTAGAGATGGTATCCTATAAGGAAAAGAGATTTTGCTGTTTTTGTTTCATTGTGTTGGTGTTTTTCATTAGTTTTTATTGTAAGATTAAATTAATAGCTTTAAAATCAGTTACCAACACTGAAGTTGTGGGCCCACTTGTGCTCAGCCTGAAAACTGCCAGTTCTGTCCTGGGGTTCACTGAGATGGGCCAGTCCGAGGCCAGGGTGTATGCCAGCAGCCTTCTGAGTTCTGGAGGCCTCAGTGTTCCCCCTTCTTCCTCAGCTGGGCTGTCATCTACTCTCCCTCCATCCCACCTCTCTTGGCTTCATCATCTCTAAAACACTGAATTCTGCATCAGCTCAGAACACCTGGGTCTAGGAGCTAACTTACAGAGGGGAGCTTTGTGGGGCACAGGCATGGGTTTTATGCCTTTTTCCCCTAAGGTAGGTTATTTATTTAAGCGCTCCCAAGCAAAGGAGTGGAAGTTCAGTACCCCGGTTGTCATTTGATATGAGTACAGAGGTGAGCTGAAGGTCACTTTTCTGCTCCACATGCAGAGTAATGATTGAAGCCAGTGTGCTGGGCTCATGCCTGGGTAGTTGTCCAGGTTCTCTTTATTCATCTTCATAGCTGGCTGGAAGCAGATTAACTGAGGGTTATTGACTAGAGCATGGTCACCGTCTCCCCAGGGAAAGGGCTTGGACCCTTGGTGGGGCTGAGGTAGGCGATAACCTGGGGTCCCATGTACACACGTCATGTGGCTTCAGCAAGGTGTCCAGCTCACTCCCACCCCAGGGGGCACGATGAAGTAAAGGGTCTTCCATATGTCCCCTGAGCCCTCCTCACTGTGGCTGCCCCTCAACCTGGGCTGCCCCAGCTGTGGCCTGGACTCAGCCAGCAGCCCAGGAGCTGGGACCTAGCCACGGGCCACTGCCATCTTCCACCTGGCCCACCACCACTTTTACCCTTTTGCAAGTCCAGAATCCAGAGTTGCGCCAGACACCCAGAAGGTGTTTGTCGGTTCGTCGGCTACCATCATCTGCACAGTCAAGGGACACAGGATCTTCTCCTGCATCATAGCCCAGTTTCAAAACACGCTCCTACTGGTAAGCCCACTGATCCCAAGAAATCAGCAAGAGGGGAGTGTTACAAACCAGGCAGCTATAAAACCAGGTCTCTCCTTTACTTGTTTCTGCCTTAGCCTCTTAAGACATTTGGAGGGAATGAAGAAGAAAATAATAAACAAAGAACAAAGACGAGAAGACTCCACTCTAAAGTTTGAAATGGGAACAGAAGGTCAGATTTGAGATAGCCGGGGCAACCAGTCATGTGTTTCTTCACAAAACCTCCCTCCCTTGTGGGCAAATGGGACTTCAAGGCCACCAGGAGACAGAGACAGGGGAGCTATTCAGGGCTGCAAGACCTGTTATCCTATCCTTGCTCTTGAATGACACCCTCTTCTGCCTCACAAGAGAGCCCTGGGGCCCAGCTTTCCACATGGGCCCGGCCCGCCCATGCCCCTCCCTGCCAAAGCTCTGATCTCCTGCCCAGATTTTGCACACATGCTCCCCAGGATGACATCGTGAAGGCAATCCATCTACTGTGACCTTACCGAAAGCCTTGCCTTCTGCTTGGCAGATGTGATCTTTTCAATTCTCTCTCCAGAAGTCTCTGAAATGGGCTGAGGGGCTGAAGAGGAGGCTAAAGCACCTCCCAAGCTTTGGCTTTTGGGCTGGCAGGAGTTAAAGTTGCAGTCAAGGAACTGTGACTTCTCACACTGATCCTGAGGCTTACAGGACAACTAGGAACGCATCAAGGCACAGCTCAAATGCCATCTTCTCCATGAAGCTACTTCCAATCACCCAACACCACCAGCAGGACAGAACACCTCTATTCCTCCTCTGTGCCCCACTGCCCGTTGAACTCTCACTACAGCACTTGTAAGTCTGCTTTGTATTCAAATTAGATGGCTACTTCTATGACTCCCTTAACAACTTGAGTTCCTCGAGGAACTGGTGGCATTGGGCTCAGAGAAGACTCTCAATAAACATTTAATGATAGATTTAATAAAAGAACAGATGAAGCAAATGTCACATTTCACTTACCTCTTGTACACCTACATAGGGAATGCCTTTTGACCATGCAACAAATATTTATTGAGTCCTACTATAAGCTGGACATGGTTCTTTGTTACAGAAGAAAACGAGGCAAACAAAAATGCATATCCTCATGGAATGTATGGTTTAGAGGAGAAAAACAATGTGAAGGGAGAAGACAACTAGGTAAAATAGGTAGACTGATAGCAAAAACTGGAAGAGAAACAAGGCACAGAGAAACATAAAGCAGAAAATGAGGCTAGAGCAAGATGAAGTGTGGAGACGATATGGAACCTACTTTTATCTATGGAGGTTGGGGAAATCTTTATAAGAAAGTAGCATTTGAGAAAACACTTGAGAGGTATGAGAGATGGAGCTATATGGTCATCTGAGAGAGGCGCCGTACAAAGGCCCCAAAGCAGGGACATGCCTCAGGTGCCCGTGTAGCTGGGACAGAGTAAATAGTGGCACGAGATGAAGGCAGAGAGATGACGGGGGCACAAGTCATGTAGGACCTGGTGGGTATTATTAGTAAAATAGAGAGTCACTGGAGAACTTTAGGAAGAGCGGCACGATTTGAGTTAGGTGTTAGCAGGATCATTCAGGCTGCTGCGTGGAAAACAGACTGCAGCGGGGCAGTGCAGAAAGCTGGGAGACCACTTAGAGGGGCCTGAGATAATCTAGACAAGCACCAACATTGAGTTGAGACGAGCTGACAATTGAATTTGCTGCTGACATTGAACGTGATATGTAAGAAAAATGGAGGAATTAAGGGAGACTGCAAAGTTTTTGGGCTGGACAACTAGAAGGAAGGAGTTGTCATGAACTGAGATGAAGAAGACTTCAAGAGAAACAGCTCATTTATCATGTTGGTTTTAAGACACCTATTAAATATTCCAGTACAGTAGCAGAGTAGACAACTGGGTATCCAAGTCTGAAGACAGAAAGAAGTCCGAGCTGGTATGGTAGGCCCAATAATGATCCCCCAAATATGTTCCCACCCTAACCCCCAGAACCCATGAGTGTTAATTTGGGAAAAGGGTTTGATTAAGTTAAGGACTTTGAGATTAGCCTGAATGATCCAGATGTGATCACCATGGCTCTTAGAAGGACACAAGAGGAATAAAAGAGGAAAAGATGGTGTGATGATGGAAGCAGGGGTTAGAGTAATAATAGCCACAGGCCAACGAATGCTGGCAGCCTCTAGAAGTTAGAAGAGGCAACGAATGGGTTCTCCCCAGGAGCCTTCAGAAGAAACCAGCTCTGCTGGCACATTGATTTTTAGCCCCGTAAGACTTCTGATCTCCAGAATTATGAGAGACTAAATCTGTGTTGTTTTAAGCTACTAAATCCACTAAGCCAGTAATTTGTTATAGCAGCCAAAGAAAAATGAAGATATAAACCTAGGGGCATATTCTAATAAGAATAATGGTCTCCCTTGACTGGGGCAGTGAAAATTAAAAAAAAAAAAAAAAGAATAATGAGATCTCCCAGGGACCAGTACAGAGAGAGAAGAGAGGTGAGCACAGAGGACTGGAGCAGCTGGAGTGATGAGGAGGAAGGCTCACAAGAGACCAAGAAGTGTGAACTGCCCACTAGGAGGAAATCAGGAGAGTGTGGTGCCTGGGAAGCAAAGTGAAAAGAACTTCAAGAAGAGGAAGTGATTTGTTAGGTGAGGTGCCACTGATAGTCAAGACAAATGAGAGGTGAGCACTGACCATGGGATGGAGCCCCTCAATGGCCTTGATGAAAGCAGTTTGGGCAGAGAGGTGGGGGATTGGGGGAAATTCTCACAGCAGGACCCAGAGAGAGTTGGAGAAGTGAAATTTGGTGATGGCATGAGAAGGCAAATCTCTCAGCCGGATGTGGTGGCTCATGCCTGTAATTCTAGCACTTTGGGAGGCCAAGGCAGGCGGAATGCTTGAGCTCAGGTGTTTGAGATCAGCCTGGGCAACATGGTGAAACCCCCTCTCTACTAAAATACAATAAAAATTAGCCGGGTATGGTGGTGTGTACCTGTAGTCCCAGCTACTCGGGAGGCTGAGGCAGGAGAATGGCTTGAACCCGGGAGGCAGAGGTTGCAGTGAGCCGAGATTGGGCCACTGCAGTCCAGCCTGGGCAACAGAGGGAGACTCCGTCTCTGAAAAAAAAAAAAAAAAAAAGGCAAATCAAACCTCTCAACGTGTTTGGCAGTACAGGGAAAATGAGAAATAAGAGGACAATCGAAGGGACACTTGGGATATTGTTTATGGTTTCTATTTAGGCTGTTGACAATGATGTAATAGAGAAGGGGAAATTGAGGATGCAAGATAAGGAAATGACTGGAATAATGTCCTCAGAGAGAGGGAGGGGGGCATAGGATCCAGTTATTCCAGTGCAGGCTGCCTAGACTCTGAGGGCCTCCCCTCCCTCTGGGTTCCTGCTCCACATCCTCCCTGGGCTGAGGAAGCATCCCATTTTCCTCACTCCTGAAGGGATCTCCCAATTTCTTGTGATTCCGCAGCAGCTTGTCGGCAGCCCAGTGAGCTTGCAGGTCAGCAGTGCTTCATCCGGGAGCAGGCAGAGTCCTAGGAAGGCCACTTTGCAGCCAAGGCCAGGTGTTCCCTCTGCCCAACTCTGAGAATGCTTGACCGGAGAAGACCCTGAGAATATCCTACAACAACTCCATCACATTATATGTTCTGAGAGTTAGTACACTTTGAAAAGCCCAACTCTAACTAGGACTGACATTTCAAAATCATGCAAAAACATATTTTTATAGTCATATATGAACAAAAGGGCTTATTCCACTTTCCCCTCAACTTTTAATGACATCAAGTTGTTAATTTCCAGGTTCCTTAATTATACCCAGAATATTTTCCCTTGCCTTCTGAAAACTCCCTTATGTCAATTGTACCCAGCATTCTTCATTGCCTCCAACCCCACATTAGCAGACATCTCATGAAGATGTGAGACAGCTACTGGATTCCTCTGTAAGAACAGACAGTGAAGACCCACATGTTCTTCTGTATTTATGATAGTATACACTGTATATTTTCAGTTATGCATATTCAATACCTCTGCGCCAGGTATTTATTTATTTATTTATTTATTTATTTATTTATTTATTTGAGACGGAGTTTCGCTCTCGCCCAGGCTGGAGTGCAGTGGCGGGATCTCGGCTCACTCACTGCAAGCTCCGCCTCCCGGGTTCACGCCATTCTCCTGCCTCAGCCTCCCGAGTAGCTGGGACTACAGGCGCCCGCCATCACGCCCAGCTAATTTTTTGTATTTTTAGTAGAGATGGGGTTTCACCGTGTTAGCCAGGATGGTCTCGATCTCCTGACCTCGTGATCCGCCTGCCTCGGCCTCCCAGAGTGCTGGGATTACAGGTGTGAGCCACCGCGCCCGGCCTGCGCCAGGTCTTCTTATATAAAAAGTCACATATATTCGAACAGGAATGGCTGACAATTTTGTGATGGTCACAATTAATGACCAGTTTCATCAGGGTTCCATTTGCCATAGCTGAATCTGCTTATGTTTGTAAGAATCATTCTTAAATAATTTATACGATTTGAAAGAACTTTATACAGAACTATCCTTGATAGAGTATTTGAACTGGTTACAGTTTATCCCCCTAAACATTGTTTTTAAACTTTATATTTTTGTCTTCAACCTCAACTCTCATCCTAGGATACAAACAATAGTTGTGAATAGTTTGTTTCCGTCTTTATTTTTTTAACTTGTAAATTAATCTCCATCAGGAGAGAGAGCTGGGTAGCCTCGCAGCAGATCAGAGGAGAAGCTAGACGTGGAACCCTGATGATAGCCTAAACCCCACTGGAGGGGTCTTCTGGAATCCTGATAGCCTAAACCCCACTGGAGGGGTCTTCTGGAATCCTGATAGCCTAAACCCCACTGGAGGGGTCTTCTGGGGAAGCTGATGCTCATCTGCCCTGTGGTAGGAAATGGCCTTTGGGATGGCAGCAGCTTTGTAGATTTCTCCAGGATGTCCACATCAACCGACTTTTCAGACTGTTTATTTCCGATGCACATGTAGGCGTTCGTATGTGTATTTCTTCAGAAATAGGGATCTTTTCTGTTTCTGAGAACATACAGAGAAACAGATTCTACAAATCTATACAGTAGCAGTATACGTTTCCTCCAACCGTGCTCCTGGTTTAGAACAACATGTAAGTACAATGGAATGGCAGAGATTCTATCCTTTATCTATTCCAGCCTCTAATTTTATGAATGCTGAAACTAAGAGGCAGAGAAAGAAAGGACTTCCCCTTGTTGACACAATAGTCAGAAACAGGCTGTGCCCAGGCCTCTAAATTCCTGAGCTAGTGCTTGCTCCTTGCTACCATACTCTGCAGTACAGTCTTTTCTGATTCCAAACTGTCATTGGACTTTTGACCAAGGTGTCATTTCTCTGGAAATGTCAAACTTACTTAGGAGTGTGTTGCCAAAACAGAAAGGCATCTTTTCAGACTTTGTCCTGTCACACTGGATTAGAAAATGTCATGCTCTTTCTTTAAGGTGATCCAAGATAAAATCCAGCCTGGATGGATGGAAAGGTAAAGGGGAGGGAAACAAATAAACAATACAGCCTGAACTAGAAGGTTGAGGTCCTGGAAATTAGTCCTCATGATGTCTTTTACCATTATGTGATCTAGGGGTCATTCTGTCCCACCTTGGTCTCTAGACTAAGCTTCCACACACATAAGATGAGAAGTTTTCACCAAATGGTCCTTAGTGTTCTGTGTCCAGGGCTCCTTCAGTCAAAGAGTACCCTTGGCTGGGCGCGGTGGCTCATGCCTATAATCCCAGCACTTTGGGAGGACAAGGCAGGCGGATCACGAGGTCGGGAAATCGAGACCATCTTGGCTAACACAGTGAAACCCCGTCTCTACTAAAAATATAAAAATTAGCTGGGCATAGTGGTAGGCACCTGTAGTCCCAGCTACTCAGGAGGCTGAGGCAGGAGAATGGTGGGTGAACCCAGGAGGTAGAGCTTGCAGTGAGCTGAGATTGTGCCACTACACAGAGCGAGACTCTGTCTCTAAAAAAAAAAAAATAGAGTACCCTGCCTTTGTTGGTGTTTTCATTTGCCACCATAACCAAGAGAAGACAAGATGTCATCTGGGCCACATGTAGAGCCTTTAGTGTCCTGGGAGTCATTAAAATCCATGCATGCTGAGCCCTCTCATAGACAGCAGGAAGTTCTTTCCTAGTATGTGCTGCTGTTGGGAGAGAAATTATAGGATACAAACTGGGGAGTCCAAATCTAGTGTGTCACAAAAGCCTGGTTTGACCATAGCTGCCAGATACGGTTTGGCTCTGTGTCCCCACCCAAATCTCATCTGGAATTGTAATCCCCATGTTAAGGGAGGGACCTGGTGGGCAAAATCTGATGCTTTAAAAGTGTTTGACAGGCCGGGCACGGTGGCTCATGCCTGTAATCCCAGCACTTTGGAAGGCCAAGGCAGGCAGATCATGAAGTCAAGAGATCAAGACCATCCTGGCCAACATGGTGAAACCCCGTCTCTACTAAAAACACAAAAAATTATTATTGTTAGCTGGGCGTGGTGGCGTGTGCCTCTAGTCCCAGCTACTTGGGAGCCTGAGGCAGGAGAATCGCTTGGACCTGGGAGGCAGATGTTGCAGTGGGCTGAGATCGGGCTACTGCACTCCAACCTGGCGACAGAGCGAGACTCCATCTTAAAAAAAAAACGTGTTTGACGGTTCCCCCCTTTCTCTCTTTCTCTCTCTCTTGCCACCTTGTAAAGAAGGTGCCTGGTTCTCCTTTACCTTCCACCATGTTTGTAAGCTTCCTGAGGCCTCCCATCCATGCAGAACTGTGAGTCAATTAAACCTCTTTTCTTCATAAATTACCCAGTCTCAGGTAGTATCGCTATAGCCATGTGAAAACGGACTAATACACTGCCCCTACAGAATGGGCAGATGCTCTCATGGCCAGTTCTCAGTAACAGCAACATCTTGTGATCAATTCTTCAGTTTCCTATTGAAAGTTGCTCCTCACAGGCATCTCTGGCTAAGAGGTCTTTGTGCCTTGAAGAATAAAAACCATGGGTATTTAGGAGCTAATTTATTTCTCTTTTAATCTTTAAGGCCTTCTGTTTTCATCTATTTTAGTCTAATACCAAAAGGATCTGCTTATTTGTGGATTCATTCATTTAATCATTCATTCAACAAATTATTCTTGGCTCCTCCTATTTATCAGTCACTATGCTAGACTGGGGCTTCACACAAGGTTTTTGCCCTCACAGAGCTTATAATCTACTGGGAGAGGCTAAAAATGAGCAATACATATATGTGTAATTACAAATAATTTTAAGAGCTCTGAAGTAAAAGAAGAGGGAGCTGAAGGCAAGAATAACACATGAGACTAATTTACACTGGGCAGTGACAAAGTGACAACTTATGCTAAGATAGGTTTTTGCAAGTACATTCAGTGCTTACAGGTTTCACATGGAGCCCAATTTTCTGTTAACCTAGAAAGAGAGATTCAGCAGAAGGTGATGAGTATAGTGGAAAACAGTGGTTCCATGCAGTCCAACACCACGTTTATTTCCTGGGTGTAAGAGAGAAAATTAGTAGAATAAGTCTGCCCAATGCTGAACATCTCCCTTTTTGGGAGTTTGCAGTCAGAAAAGATTGTGTTTAGTAATAAAGCAACCATTTCTTTTTTTATAGTACATGTTGGCCAGTTTCTAGTTAATCCCTATAAACTTTCTCAGTTAAATCATTCAGTCAGCCAAGGTTGAGTGACACATGACTTCCTTGCTTTAAGCAAAGGGGTCTTGTTAAAGAATATTACAATGGTTTAAGAGAAATTGGATCCTACCACTCTGCATCATCAGGAAGACTAATCTTGCAAAGAATTAAAAACACATGGGGATTTCTGTGTCTGATCCTGACATAGTAACTGGTACATAACTTGCCTTCACTTAAAACAACTACAAATGGGGAAAAACACATGAGGCAAATGTTTTCAGACACGGAGCAATAGGCAATAGGGGAATGTGATTTGGGAGACAAGTGAACTATATGACGTGAGTTCCATGGTCACCCCAGTTTTTTTCCCAAGGAAATTCTCCTGCTGCAATAAAAAGAGCTAAGGAGGCAGAGATTGAAGCTTTGGGATATAGACATGGCTGAAATTTGTGGGGTGGGATATCAGAAAAGAAGATACTGCACAGAAAATCAGGCCACTGAAGTCTGCATGGGGATGGACTGTGGGTCTGTGGCTGAGAACTCAGCTGCCCATACACAAGGCCTAGCAAGGGTCACATGCTGCAGGACTGGGAGCTGAACAGAGAAACCAGAAGTCCTGCTTTGCTGAGAGACGTTGGACTTCTGTCCCAAGCAGAACATTTTGAAGATTCAGTTGAGATTCTAAAAAGGTTATGCCTTGAGATGAAGAACCATGCTGTATAGTAAGGGCCAGCTCTAAACCTAAGCTCAATACAAAAATAGATCCCTTCAACAATGCAGGGATTAGAGGGGAAATGGAATAAAAAAAAATACGCCCACTTTCACAAAGAAAAAGAAACAACTCTAACAGGACCAAAATTATATTCCAAACACTTAACTGCCTTCAAGAACAAAATTCAATGTCCTTTAAAAGAAGGTGACAAAATCTGGACTCCCTATATTATCCATGTCAGAGAACAAACAATAAAAAATTATCAGACATGAAGATATAGGAAAATGTGACCCAGTTAAATTCAAGAAAAAAAAAATCAATCAATAGAAATAGACCCTGAGATGCTCCAGGTGTTAGAATTAACAGACCAGACTTCAAATGTAAAAGTTATTAACACATTCAGTGATTTAAATAAAAATATAGGAAATCTCAGCAGAGAAATGGAAACAATAAAAAAGAACCAAACAGAATTACCAAAACCGCAAAGAAAAATGTGTAGAATTAAAAATTCTACTAGATGAGCTTAATAGCAGATTGCAGACTACATGAGAATGGGTTAATGAACTTGAAAATAGGCCTTTTGAGATTGTTCAACTTGAAACAGTTTAAAGAGATAAAAAAGATTAAACAGATTCTCCATGATGTGTAGGGAAATACCAGGCAGTCTGACATATGTGAAATTAAGGTGTCAGAGGGGAAGAGATGAGAAATGGAACAGAAAAAAAATATTTAAAGAAGTGATGGCTAGAAAATTTCCCAGAGTTAGTGAAAACCATTAAAATACCAATCAAAAATGCTCAGTAAACACATTGAATCACAAATACACATGGTATACACATAAATACACATAGATCTACATTCAGGCATGGGATGGTCAAACTTGAAAATGAACAATACAGAGAAAAAATTTAAAAGTAGCTAGAGGACAAAAGCAGATTACATACAAGGCAAACAATGATATGAATGACAGCTGAACTCTTCAGAAACAATGAAGGCCCGGAATCAATAAAATGGATTTTAAAGTACAGAAGGAAAACAACAATGAGAAAATAATACTCTCTCAGCTCTGAAGTCTACATCTAGCAAAAATATCAAAACTAAAGGCAAAATAACAACATTCACCAAACAAAATCTGAGCAAACTTATCAGCAGAAATGTGCTATGAAAAATATTAAAGAAAGTACTTTATGCAGGAGGATAAAAGTAAAAGATAGAAACTCAGATCTAAGCAAAGAAATTTAAAATGTCATAAATAACAATTATGTAAATAAATATAAAGGGATTTATTTACTTTTGTTTAATTTACTTAAAAGATCATTGGCTGTTGAAACAATATTGTGGAGTTTATAATATTTAACAAAATAGAATGTATATCAACTAAGTGCAAAGAATGGAAGAAGAAAAATGCAGGTGTATTGCTATAAAGTTTTTACATAATACATAAGGTAGTAAAATACAAGTTGAAAGTAGACTGTGAGAAATTAAACATATTTATTGTAAACCCTAGAGAAATTACTAAAAAAAAAAAACAAACATGTATAGTGAATTCGAAATCCAGTAGGGCAGTCATTGAATCTTAAAGTTCCAAAATGATCTCCTTTGACTTCATGTCTCACAACCAAGTCATGCTGATGCAAGAAGGAGACTCCCATGGCCTTGAGCAGCTCTGCCCCTGTGGCTTTGCAGGATCCAGGCCCCCTCATGACTGCTTTCATGGGCTGGCATTGAGTGCAGCTTTTCCAAGCACATGGTGCAAGCTGTTGGTGGATCTACCATTCTGGGGTCTGGAGGACAGTGGCCCTCTTCTCACAGCTCCACTAGGCAGTGTCCCAGTGGGGACTCTGTGCCAGGGCTCCAACCCCACTTTCCCTTCCACACTTCCCTAGCAGAGGTTCTCCATGAGGGCCCCTGCAGCAGACATCTGCCTGGACATCCAAGCTTTTCCACATATCCTTTGAAATCAAGAAGAGGTTCCCAAACTTCAATTCTTGACTTCTGTGCACCCACAGGCTCAACACCATGTGGAAGCTACCAAGGCTTGGGGCTTGCATACTCTGAAGCAAGGGCTTGAGCTGTGCCTTGGCCCCTTTTAGCCATAGGTGAGGCTGAAGCAGCTGGGACACAGGGCAGCAAGTCCCTAGGCTGCACACAGCAGTGATGTCCTGGGCCAGGCTCATGAAACCATTTTTCCCTCTTAGGCCTCTGAGCCTGTGATGAGAGGGGCTGCCATGAAGTTATCTGACATGCCCTGGAGATATTTTCCTCATTGTCTTGGTGATTAATGTAAAGCTGCTCATTACTTGTGGCAAATTTCTGCAGCCAGCTTGAATTACTCCCCAGAAAATGGATTTTCTTTTCTATCTCATCATCAGGCTGCAAATTTTCCAAACTTTTGTGCCCTGCTTCCTATTTAATGTTTTTTTTCTTTTTTCTTTTTTTTTGGTGAGAATGATGTCTTTATGATATTGAGTATTTTTATCCTGGAGCATGGTATAGCTCTGCATATTTATTTAGGTTTTCTTTAGTATCTGTTAATAAACTTTTACAATTTTCTCCCTAAAGAATTGGCACCTCATTTGTTGGATTAATGTTTTGTTGTTTAGATATTTCTTCCGCCAGATGCCCCAAATTATGTCTCTCAAGTTCAAAGTTCCACAGATCTCTAGGGCAGGGGCAAAATACTGCCAGTCTCTTTGCTAAAGCATAGCAAGAGTCACCTTTGCTCTAGTTCCTAAGAAGTTCCTCATCTCCACCTGAGACCAGCTTAGCCTAGACTTCATTGTCCAGATCACTATCAGCATTTTGGTCAAAGCCATTCAACAAGTCTCCAGGAAGTTCCAAACTTTTCCACAGTTTCCTCTCTTCTTCTGAGTCCTCCAAACTGTTCCAACCTCTGCCTGTTACCCAGTTCCAAAAACACTTCCACATTTTTGGGTATCCTTATAGCAGCGTCCCACTGCTTTGGTACCAATTTATTGTAATTAGTCCATTCTCATGCTGCTATGAAGAAATATCTGAGACTGGGTAATTTGTAAAGAAAAGAGGTTTAATGGACTCACAGTTCTGCATGGATGGGGAAGCCTAAGGACACTTACAGTCGTGGCGGAAGACACCTCTTCACAGGGCAGCAGGAGAGAATAAGTGCCAACAAGGGAAATGCCAGAAACTTATAAAATCATCAGATCTCATGAGAACTCACTCACTATGATGAGAACAGCATGGGGGAAACCACCCCCATGATCAAATTACTTCCCACCAGATTCCTCCCACGACATATGGGGATTATGGGGATTACAATTCAAGAAGAGATTTGGGTGGGGACACAGCCAAACCATATCAATGAGGAATAAAGACCAGATTTATTCTTACAGCAAAAACAACTGAAAAATAGACAAAATATATTAAATGATAGCACTCAAGGCATTGGACATTAAACAGTGAAGGACAGAAAGGGGACTAGAAACAAATGAGATGAGCCCTACCATTGCCCCCAGCTTACTGCCTGGAGAAGATTTCGAAGCCAGGGCACAAAGAAGGAGAACCCAAAGAGAGCCCAGTGGTCTCTCATGAGTTGAGAAGATGGAGCTGAGAGTTAAATGTGGACAAGACAGCTAGAGGTCATGGGGCAGAACACTTGAGAGGGGAGAATTACACAAAGAGAGAGCTCTGAAGAGTCTTAGAGAGTTCTCCATAAATCTTTAGCTGAATGCTGGTCAGTGTACATATGTGAGAAAAATACCAGAAGCTGGGGAAAGACAACACAAAGGAATTACTGAAATAGAACTCAGGGCTCACATAGAGTTAGGAATAGTGCCTGTTCCCAAAATCTAGGATGAAAAGCCTCGTAGTTATGAATCTATCAGGTAGAGTAAAAAGAAGGGTTATCTGTAAGGGTAAATCTGGTTTTTCTTATGCATCTTAATTAGAAGTGAAAGAATATTTATAGGGGTACAAAAATATCCAGCATCCAACAAGCTAAAACTCAAAATGTCTGGCACTCAATAAAAAAGTATTAATAGTAGGCATGCAAGGTGTGAAAAAAAAAAAAGTCATAACAAGGTGAAAAAATTGATCAACTAAAACTGACCCAGGGCCTGGCATGGTGGCTCACACATGTGATCCCAGCACTTTGTTTGGGAGGCTGAAGCAGGAGGATCACTTGAGCCCAGGAGTTCAAGACCAGCCTAGGCAACATAGAGACGTCATCTCTACTTTAAAAAATAATAATAATAACCAAAAACACTAGCTAGTCATGGTGATCTGTGCTTGCAGTCTCCTAGCTACTTGGAAGACTAAGGTGGGAGGATCACTGGAGCCCAGGAGTTCAAGGTTGCAGTGAGCTATGATCATGCCACTCCATTCTAGCCTGGGCAACACAGTGAGATCCTGTCTCTCAAAAACAAAACAAACAAAAAACAGACCCAGAAATGATGCAGTATTAATAGTAAACAAGAACATTAAAAAAGTTATTATGACTTAATTTCATATTTTCAAGAAACTAGAGGAAAAACTGAATATGTTAGAGACATGGAAAATCATGTATAAATATGTGTGTGTGTGTGTGTATACACTCAGATTTTTGTATACACACACACACACACACACACATATAAATAATTTGGGTCTATATTTATACAGACCCAAATTGAACTTCAAAAGATGGAAACTACAATATCTGAGATAAAAAATTCAGTGGATATGATTAATGGTAGATTAAACATTGCATAAGATAAAGTTGGTGAGCTTGAAGTCACAGCAATAAAAACTAACCAAAATAAAACACACAGAAAAAAATGGGGCAGGAGAGAGAACAAAGCATCACTGGATGCTTTGTTCTTTGGGACAACTTAAAACAGCCAAATCAAATGTACAGATTAGAGTCTCAGGGGTAGGGCAGTGACTGAAAAAATATTTTAAAAAATATCTGCTGGCACATTTCCAAATTTGATAAAAACTATAAGACCACAGCCATGAAGCTCAATCAGAAATACGTAACATGCTCAAGAAACATCAAGAAAACCACACCAAAGACCATGGTAATTAAATTAGTTAAAACTAGTGAAAATGAGAAAATTTAAAAAGTAACCATAAAAAAGAGACACATTACATGCAGAAGAACAACCATAAGAAGACAACATATTCTTGGCTGGGTATGGTGGCTCACACCTGTTATCCAAGAATTTTGGGAGGCAGAGGTAGGTGGATTGCTTGACCCCAGCAGTTTGAGACCACTCTGGCCAAAATGGCAAAACCCCATCTCTACAAAAAAAGAAAAATACAAAAATTAGCCAGACCTGATGGCACATGCCTGTAGTCCCAGCTACTTGGGAGGCCGAGATGGGAGGATCACTTGAGTCTGGGAGATCAAGGCTGCAGTGAGCCCTGATCATGTCACTGCATTGTAGCCTGGATGACAGAGTGAGACCCTGTCTTAAAAAAAAAAAAAAAAAAAAAAAAAGGATCAGGTGCAGTGGCTCATGCCTGTAATCCCAGCACTTTGGGAGGCTGAGGCAGGCAGATCACAAGGTCAGGAGATGGAGACATCGAGACCATCCTGGCTAATGCAGTGAAACCCTGTCTCTACTAAAAATACAAAAAATTAGCCGGGCATGGTGGCATGTAGCTGTAGTCAGAGCTACTCCAGAGGCTGAGGCAGGAGAATCGCTTGAACCCAGGAGGCAGAGGGTGCACTGAGCTGAGATCACACCACTGCACTCCAGCCTGGGTGACAGAGTGAGACTCCGTCTCAAAAAAAAAAAAAAAGAAGAAGAAGAAAACAGATTTCTTGTTAGAATTAATGCAACTAGAAGACAATGGAGCAATATCTTTAAAGTATTAGAAAAAAAGTCAATTTTGAAATATTTAACCAGAAAATAAATTTTTTTTTGAATTGAGGTGAAATAAAAATGTTTTCAGATGAAGAAAAGTTTAGGCAGGAATAAAAGAAGTCAACCAAACAAAAGGAAACTGATACTAGATGAAAATATGGATCTATGTAAAGTAAGAAAGAGCTCCAAAAATACTAACTACATGGGTAAATATAAAGACTTTTTAAAATTTTTTTGTATTTCTTTAAAATAATTGTTTAAAGTAAAAATAATAACAGTATACTGTGGTGCTTATTATATATGTAGAAATATAATGTATAACAACAATAGCACAAATGCAGGAAGAGAAGAAATGGAAAATATACTTAAGGTTCTTATACATGACATGATGTATCACTTAAAGGTAGGCTGTGGTAAGGTAAAGATATATAATATAGACCCTAAAGCTAAAATAACAAGAGAAAAGGGTGTAGTTAATAAGTCTACAAAGGAGATAAGTACAAATCATACAAAATACTAAATTAATCCAAAAAGGAGACAGGAGAAGAAGTAAAAGGGAACAAATAACTGATGGAAAAAAATAGAAAATAAATAAGATGTTAGATTTAATTCCAACATTGCCAATAATTAAATGTAGATGCCTACACACCCCAATTAACAAGCAGAGATTTTCAGATTGGATAAAAAAAGGAAAAACCAACTGTATGTTGCCTACAAGAAACCTACCTTAAATATATAGATACAAATGGTTAAAAATAAAACAAATTTAACAAAACATGTTAAAGTAAACAACAATTAAAAAGCTGATGCGCTATGTTAATCTCAATCAAAGTAGGTTTTAGAGAAAAGCATATTGACAAGAATGAAAAAAGTCATTCTATACGATAAAAAAGTCATTTCATCAAGAGGGCACAATAGTCCTAAACATTTATGCACCTAATAACAGAGTTTTTAAAAAACTGATCAAATTGCAGGGAAAGGAACACAATTGTGCTCAGAGATTTTAATATTTCTCTCAATAAGTGATAGAACAAGTAAACAAAAATAAAAATATAAAAGGCTTAAAAAACACTATTCACCAATTATTGTATTGATATTTAATAGCACACTCCACCTAACAACAGCAGAATACATATTCTTTTCAAGAGACACAGAAAATGTAAGCAAGATAGTCATTATTCAGTATCGTTTTAAAAGTTTTTTATAAATGTTAAAGGATTCAGGTCATACAAGTATATTATATGTCCACAATGGAATTAAATTAGAAATCAATAACAGAAATATATATGAAAAATAACCAAATATTTAGAAACTAATATTTGAGTCAGAGAAGAAATTAATGGGAAAATTTAAAAGTATTTTTAACTGAATAAAAGTTAAAACATAATATATTAAAAATTTATGGAAAGCAACTAAACCAGTATTTAGACTGAGTTTTTAGCACAAAATGACAATATTTGGAAAAAATGAAAGTTCTAAATGAATGGCCTCCACTTCTGCCTTTGAAATCAGAAAAGGGAAAGCAAACAAACCCAGAACATGCAGAAGGAAGGGAATAATGAAGATCAGAGGAGATATCAATGAAATGTAACTTAAAAATAGAGAAAAACTAATAAACCCACATACTGATTCTTGGACAAGATCAATAAAATTGATAAATTACTGGTCAAACTGATAAGAGGTTTCATAAAAAGCATGAAACAAACTATCTCTATCAGGAAATAGAAAAGTGATACCACTTCTGATTTGGTTTGGATCTGTGTCCCCTCTCAAATCTCATGTTGAATTGTAATCCCCAGCGTTGGAGGTGGGGCTTGGTGGGAGGGGATTGGATCATAGGTGTGGTTTTTCACGGTTTAACACCATCCCCCTTGGCGTTGTCTTAGAGAAAGTGAGTGCTTGTGATATCTGGTTGTTTAAAAGTGTGTGGCACCTCCACCCCACCACCCCCTTTCTCCCTCAGGCCTCCCCTGAAGCAGATGCCACCATGCTCCCCGTACAGCCTGCAGAACCATAAGCCAATTAAACCTCTTTCCTTTCTAAATTACCCAGTAGCAGGTATTCCTTTATAGCAATGTGAGAAAACACTAATACAATTACAGATTCTATGAATTTCTGGAGGACACTCAGAGAATCTTATGAAAAACTTTATGCCAATAGATTTAACACCTTAGATGAAAGGCACAAATCCCTTGAAAGATACAAGGAAAAAAACTCACTACCAAAGCTCACTCAAGAAAAAATAGATAACCTGAATAGCCCTATATCTATTAAGAAAATCAAATTTGTGGTTAAAGCCCTTCCCACAAAAACAAACAAACAAATAAAACAACAAAAAAACTCCTCCAGCTTCAGACAGCTTCACTGAAGAATTCTACCAAACATTAAAGGAAAAAATAATGCCAATCTCCTACAAACTCTTTCATAAAATAGAGGAGGAGCAAGAATTACTTCCCAACTCACTTTACGTGGTCAATCATTTCTGATGCCAAAAGTGACAAAGACATTACAGAAAAGAAAATTACCAAACTTTCTCAAGAAATTAGATACAAAAATCTTTAAAAAAGTAATAGAAAATATGTTACAATTTTAACAGGAAAAGAACAAAAATCATATGATTATCTCAATAGCTGCAGACAAAGCATTTGATAAATTGAATATCCATTTATGGGAGGAAAGTAAAATAAGTAAACAAGAAAAAGAATGAAAACTCCTCAGCCAACCTAGCACTAGGCATCTATGTAAAACTTAAGGTTAGATCTTATGTAATGGTAAAAATTCAAATGCTTTACATCTTAATATTGGGAACAAGGTTGGGATGACCACTTTTACCTCTTCTACTCAAAATTGTATTAGATATCTTATCCAGTTCATTAAAAAAGAAAAATAAAGCTATGAAGTTGTGGAAAAGAAGGAGTAAAATTGACATTATTTTTAGACAATATGACTGTTTATATAGAAAACCATAAGGAATAGTTTAAAAATGGCTACTAGATCTAACAAGTGTATTAAGTATATTTAGTAAGGTTGTAGGTCAATATACAAAGTTAATTGTATCTCTGTATTCCAGTAGCAAGAAATTGGAAATGAAATAATGAAGATAATTCCATTAATAATGAGATAAAATATAAAACACTCAGGAAAAAATAACAAAAGACATTTATAACTTCCACATTAAAAATCTAAAGCATTGCTGAGAGAAATTAAAGATGACTGAAAACAAATGGAGACTTTTTACCATATTCATGCACTAGAAGACAATATTGTTACAATATCAATTCTGCAAAATTGATTTCTAGACCCAGCACTATTTCAATAAAATTCCCAATAAGGATTTTTGTAGGTATTGAAAAGTTGATTCTAAAGTTTATATGAAAATTCAAAGAACCTACATTATTTAAAACAATCTTTTAAAAGAAAACAAATAGGGAGGACTTATACTGTTTGATTTTAAGACTTACTATGAAATTACTTGTATTTTACTAAGTTTATTGGATAGACAAAATTACCTGATCAAGAGAACAGAATAGAATCTAGAAGCATCTGGTATGTATAATCAAAGTTTGACAAAGGCACCAAAGCGAATCAATGGCAAAAGAAAAGTCTTTTCAATAAATAGTGCTGGAATAACTACACAACCATCTAGAAAAAAATGAATGACAACTCCTATCTCACACAATTCACAAAAACTAATTTGAGATGAATCCTAGATATCAAACTAAATGCTAAAACTATGAAACATCTCCAAAAAAAGCAGAATACTTTTGGCATTTTGGTGTAAGCAGAGATTTCTTAAAAACAGGACACTGAAGCACTAATTATGAAATTTAAAAATTAATGAATTGAACTTTAAGAAAATTAAAATTTTGGGCTCATAAAATTTTAAAAACATGAAAAACAAGCCACAGTTTGTTAAGATGTTCCACTAAGAACTTGTATCGAGAACACATAAAGAACGCCTACAATTCAGCATTAAAAAGAAAAAAAAATTATTTTGAATCACAAAAGAAGACATATCAATGGCCAATAAGCACATGAAAGTATGTTCAACCTCCTTAATCAGCAGAGAAATGATCTCACAGTGATTGAAGTTCTATAAGAAAGATTTTGAATGAGCAATTAAATGGCACACGATGGACAAAATGACAGCAGTGACATACCAAGTGGGGAGGCCTGGTGAGAGCAGTTGCCCCTGGGTACAGGCGACAAGGAGGTAGATCATCTGTAGCAAATTTTAAAACAATAATAAAATCAAATAAAAGTGGTCTGCTTTTTATCATTACCCAGCGACAGCAATTCTTAATAGGGTCAGTGATAACTTGCCCATAGACCCCCACATCCCTCCCATTCGCCCTTGTGCTATATCGAATGTGAGTCTCATTTTCTCCCTTAACATATTCCCTCTCTAAAGCCTTCCAGAAATATGCATTTTTAATGGTTGCATGATACTCCTTATTTTGTTAACAGATCCCTTATTACTGAACACTAATGCTGTTCTCAATTTTTCAATGTTATAAACGACATTAGGACAATATCTCTGTGTTATCATCCTTGACAGTTTTTCAGGATTTTGCCTTGAGAGAGAAATGTCTCCTCTTGATTTTTGATCTTGGAGGAAAATCTTGGACAGTGAACTAGCTGAAAATGTGTAGATGAGAATGTACCTGAGAGGAGGTCAGTAGAACCTGAGATACAGGCTGAGAGTGGCAAGGAGAGCGGGGGAAGGGGAGCAGCCTGGGAGGGCTTCAGGAGAAAGAGGAGCATGTGCAGAGTGGGCCCAGGGGAGAGCAGAGAGAAACATAGTGCCAGGCCCGGCCCAGAACAGAGGTTAGGAGTATAGGAAAGCCACCATGTTCCTTGCGGCTGGGCAGATTTGATCTCTCTGTGCCTCAGTTTCCTCATCTTTAAAATGAGCTTAGAAATAGAACTTAACTCTGTGACCCATTTTTTTTTTCCTTTTTGGAGACAGGGCATCACTCTGTCGCCCAGGCAAGAGTGTAGTGGCGTGAACATAGCTCACTGTAGCCTTGAATTCCTAGGCTCAAGTCATCCTCCCACCTCAGCCTCCCAAGCAGCTGAGACTACAAGTGTGCACCACCATGCCTAGCTAATTTGTGTATTTTTTGTAGAGACAGGGTCTCGCTATGTTGTCCAGGCTGGTCTTGAACTTCTGAGTTCAAGCAATCCTCCCGCCTTTGCCTTCCAAAGTGTTGGGATTACAGGTGTGAGCCACTGCGCCCAGCTTATGTAGATGAATACCTGTAAGCACATAGAAAATTACCCGGCAATACATGTTTGGTAAATAAAAGTGAATGATGGCGAGGCACAGTGGCTCATACCTGTAATCCCAGCACTTTGGGAGGCTGAGGTGGGTAGATCACTTGAGGCCAGGAGTTTGAGATCACCCTGGCCAGCATGGTGAAACCCCATCTCTACTAAAAATACAAAAATTAACCAGGCATGGTGGCACACACCTGTAGTCCCAGCTACTCGAGAGGCTGAGGCAAGAGAATCACTTGAACCCAGGAGGCAGAGGTTGCAGTGGGCCGAAATCATGCCACTGCGCTTTAGCCTGGGTGACAGAGCAAGACGCTATCTCAGAAAAGTGAATGAGGCTTCTGGGTGGAGCCTAAGACAGACAGCACCAAAGTAGGAAATTCTTGCTTAAGAGCACAAAAAATGGAGGCCGCGTTTCCCCTCATGAGGGAAAGTGAGTGGCAATGTTGCCTGAAGCCAGCCTTCCAACAGGGCAAATGCTGCTGGTCTGGTTGGGAAGCCAGCTGCCCTTTATCTCCCTCTGGCCAGTATCTGAAATCAGCTGTGAGAGAGAAATGCAGAACACTAGGAGATAGGAGCAGGCCGCTTTCCTCTTCCATCGGCTCTTCCGGGGCACCAGTCACTGCTTATTAAGCAGTTTATGTCATTAAGCATCTCCCTGGGGGAGCTGGAGAGCCACAGCACAGTGTAGATAATGAAGATCTATTGCATAAGCAGAAAAAGTTCAATGGAAAATGCCTCCTTCTGCGCTCCCTGGCTGCCCTCACTTGAGCCCTGTCTCCTTTTTATTAGCAGCGTGAGAGGATTCAACATTGTTTTTATTTTCTCACTCCTTGTGGGGAAAGACATTGATCCAGGCTTAAGAAGTCTTTCTGCGTCTGTTTCTTTAAACTAAGAATTGGGTTTCACTCTGGGCTAACTGTTCCTTTAGGTACAAGCTGAATGGCTCCCATTGCCAAGGTGAGCCCCAGACACATTTCTGACACAGCTCACTTCCTTTTTAGGGCCCCTAAAGTCAAGGTTAGTGCCTGCTCTCAAGCCCCTCAGGCCAAGGAGACCTGCCCTCAGAAATAAGATGTCTTGAATGGGAACAAAGAGCTCTATCATGCCCTTGGTTTCTTCATGTTTAAAATGCAGAGCAAAGGAGTACATGAGGTCAAGAGCCTTCTAGTCTGAACCTTCTGTGGAGTGGAAGGACACTAATGGGCCAGACAGCTTCTAGATGCAAGGCGGGCTCAGGCCTGGGTGAGGTCAGGACGGGAGACACGGAGAGGAACAAGTTACCTAGCCTCAGCCAGCAGAGTCCCGGGCCAGCCTCACAGCGACGGGAGGTGATTTTGTCACGTTCACTGACCTCTGACTCTTTCCTCAAGGAAGGGTTTGTGTCATGAGTGAACAGAGACAGGTGAAAAGCCCCCTCTAATTTCTAGCACACAGTCCTGCAAGCCTCTGCAGGAAGGAGTTGGGAGCTCTGCGTTTCCCTCTCGTTGGCCTCCTGCCTGCCTGTCTGCCCTGGACCTTGCTTACCAGCTTATCCAAGCTGCATGGAGGTTCAGGGGTGCCATCTGGGTCTCCTCAGCCCAAATATGGGACTTTCAAAATCTCCCCCCAACACAAACACACCCTGCTGTGTTGATTCCGTTCCCGTACTCTCCACTCCATCTCTTCCCATCCACCTTCATATTTGCTCTTAGAACCAGAGCCTGTGACCACGTGAGATACTGTATTGCAGTCACCTGGAGTTTGCTTTACAGGAAAAGTAAACGCCCCCTCCCCTTTTCCTCCTAGTCTCTTTGGTTTAGAAGGATGATGTCATCTGAATAACAGCCTGAAGTAAATGATTAGGAAAAGTGCCCTTCTCTTGAACCCTGTGGACACCATCTAGCTCTGAGACAGAGATTCAGTTAGAAATGCTGCAGCTGGAAAACAATTCACACACCATGCCCATGAAGTGTGTGAAGCTCTGGAAGAAAAGACACGAAGAGGATATTTACGATTGGGGAAGGAAGCATAGCGTGGTACACCTGAATCAGGAGGACTGTGAAGGGCGGCAGTGAGGAGTGAAACCAGAGCCTGAAATTGCCACACTTCCTCCGTGTCTGACTCGGTGCTTCTCAAACTGAGCATTTTCAACATCTTTGACAAAACAATTCAGCCACGGAGGGGAGTCTTGCGCATTGTAGGATGTTTAAGCCAGAATTCCTGGCCTCCACCCACTACATGCCAGAAGTAACTTACCCCAACCAAGATGAGATTAGCCACTGGCATGAAGGAAATAAAATATTAGAACTTCTATGTATTTTTATTTGATTACAAAACATAGAATTTAAGTTTTATTAACATTGATGATGCCCAGACATAATCCAAGACATGTCAGTGAGATGTCTATAACTTAGACAGGTAGACGGAGAAACCCTCATCTGCTCTATCATTCTGAGCTTATTACAGGGCATTGTAGTTCATATTTGTCCAATTAGGTTGGATTCAGTAATTATTTTAAATGGGAGATGGCAAGTAACTGTGAAGATTCTATAAGTCATCTCATGGCAAGGAACTTAGGTACACATTTTTCTCTTACAAAAAACCCCACAAATTATTATAACTTTGCTATTCGTTTGGTGATAGGTAGCTGCCAGTAGTATGCTACCTAGTAGATATTTTTAATATACCCATAATCCATCCTTTCAAAATAAAGGTGACATTTAACAATGAGTGAAAAAGTGACTACGTTTAGAAAGAAACTCGTGCTATGGTATTTCTGGCAAATGACCAGAGAGCCTGAAAAGCCCTCCTGAGATAAAGCATACAGATATTCTGGATAAAATATTACAGGAATACTTTTAGATTCAGAGCTGAGCTGACCTGGAAGTAAGGGAAGTCACCAGGTGCCAAACTGAAGAGGGAGTTCGTGCTGAACCAAAGCTATCCTGAGAGCATCTGCCAATCGCTGAAACAAGCTGGAGTTTTAATGGCCTTGCAGGGAACAGAAGACTAGATATTCAGCCTGAATAAGCTGGAAAATTGGAACTGAGACCCCTAATAAAGTAAGAAGCCTGAAAAGCTACAGTCTCAGTAAAAGGATTTACTGTCCACTGGTAAAGGAAGGTGAAAATGAAACTTATCTGCACAAGGAATTAAATTCACACATTTTTTGTTGACTGGAAACCCCCAGCGGAAGAGTTAACTTAAAAATGGTCTCGTGTTATACCATTACAGGGCCACCTGGCAGAGAAGCAAATGCGTATTCTCTCTGTAAGGATGCACTCAAAACCCAGACCTCATGGGTTCCCACGAATAAACCCAGCTGAACAGTCAAAACCCAGCTCACAGTCAAAATTTTTAAACACATGAAAAACCCAGCCACCACCAATAAGAATCAGAAGAAACAAAAAAAAAGCAGAATTAAATTCCCAGCGACTTCATATATATGAACTATGGAACACAGAATTAAAAATAATTATGTTTTAAGGAAGTAAAAAGAAATGTTTTCAGAAATAAAAGAGGGAATCAAAATACATGAGCAAGGAATAAAATAATCTCAAAAGGGCCCAGGCATTTGTAGAAAACAACCAGAAAGAATTTTAAACATGAGAAATCATAGTTATTATAATTAAAAACTAAGCAGATGAGGAAAAACCTAAATGAAACATGAAGTTAGGCACAGTTGAAGAAAGAATTTGTGAACTCAAAGATAGATCTAATACACACACACACACACACACACACACACACACACACTTTTTTTTTTTTAAGAGATGAGGTCTCGCTAAGTTGCCCAGGCTTAAGTGCAGTGGCTATTCACAGACATGATTATAACACACTACAGCCTCAAACTTCTGAGCTCAAGTAATCCTCCTGTCTCAGCCTCTCAAATATCTGGGGCTAAAGGTGTGTGCCACTGTGCCCAGCTGGTTTTGAAAAACACAGAAAAACAAAGTGCAAAAGAAAAATAATTGTCAATCAAGACTTATAAACCCAACTAAGATATCACTGAAGAAAAAGACTAAGATAAAGACATTTGCAGGCAAATAAAAACTGAGAAATTTTGCCATCAACAGATTCTTACTAAAGGAATTTCTAAAAAGAAGTACTTCAGAGGAAGAAAACAAAATTGCCGGAAAGTTCTGAGCTGCAGGAAAGAATGATTTTTACTTAGAATAAGAATTTTCCATTGCTTCCTAATTATTAGGTTTATATATAAATTTGTGTTACTTTAACCATTTAAATGCAGTGTTAAGATTTGAAAATAAATGTTAGAAGTTAAGGGTCTTTTGGTTTTTTTTTTTTTTTTTGACATTTATCCATTAAAGTCCTATTAAAATTTAGGCCTTTAAAAAAGGAAGGAAGAAAAGAAGCAAAAATAGACCCCAAAAAAATGCATGAGGATATCATTACAAAACAAATGTTTGTTTTAAATAAAAGGCATATAGATTAGGAAGGAAGAAATAAAACTGTCTTCATTTACAAATTACATGATTGTCCATGTAGAAAATCTAAGAGAACTGACAAAACAAACAATACACCTCCTAGAACTAATAAGTAGTTATAGTGAAGTTGCAGGATACAAGATTAATATATAAAGGTGAATCATGGCTGGGCACGGTGGCTCACACCTGTAATCCCAGCACTTTGGGAGGCCGAGGCAAGCGGATCACCTGAGGTCAGGAGTTCGAGACCAGCCTGGCCAACATGGTGAAACCCCATCTCTACTAAAAATACAAAAATTAGCTGGGTGTGGTGGCGGGCGCCTGTAATCCTAGTTACTTGGGAGGCTGAGGCAGGAGAATGGCTTGAACCCAGGAGGCAGAGGTTGCAGTGAGCCGAGATTGTGCCACTGCATTGCAGCCTAGGTGACAAGAGCGAGACTGTCTCACAAAAAAACAAAAACAAAACAAACAAACAAAAAAAAGTGAATTACATTCCTATATACCAACAATAAACAATTGGAACTTGAAGTTAAAAATAAAATACATTTATACAATATTAGCACACCTCAAAATGAAATACTTAGGTATAAATCTAACAACATGTATAAAGATATACAGAAGGAAAACTACGAAACTCCAACTAAATAAATAGAGAGATATTTTACATTCACGGATAGGTGGACTCGATATTGTAAGATGTCAGTTCTTCCCAACAATATCGAAGGAAAACAAAGTCAGAGGACTGACTGCCCAGTTTCAAGGCTCAGCATAAAGCTACAGTAATAGAGACAGTGTGGCATTGGCAAAAGAATAGAAGAATAGACAAATAGATCAATGAAACAGAATAGACAGCCCAGAAATAGATCTTCACGGATCACTTGAGCCCCAGAGATCCGGGCTGTAGTGCACTATGCCAATTGGGTGTCCACACTAAGTTCAGCATCAATATGGTGACCTCCAGGTTGCCTAAGGAGGGGTGAACTGGCTGAAGTCAGAAAACACAAGTCAAAACTCCTGTGCTGATGAGTAGTGGAATCGCACCTGTGAAGAGCCACTACGCTCCAGTCTGGCTGGAGCCTGTCTTCTTAAAAAAAAAAAAAAAAAAGGAATAGACCCTCATAAATATTGTCAACTCATCTTTTGACAAAGGACCAACGGCAATACAAAGAAAATACAGTCTTTTCAACAAATCGTGCTGGAACAATTGGACATCCACATGTTAAAAAAAATGATTCTAGGCACACTCTTTACATCCTTCACAAAAAATTAACACAAAATAGATTACAGACCTAAATGTAAAATGCAAAACTATAAAACTCCTGGAAGATAACATAGGAGAAAATCTAGATGGTCCTGAGTTTAGTGATAACTTTTTAGACACCAAAGGCACAACCCATGAAAGAAAGAATTGAAAAGGTGGACTTCGTTCGATTAGAAATTTCTGCTTTGTAAAAGACATCAAGAAAATGAGGGGGAAAAATCCACAGACAGAGAAAACAATATTTACAAAAGACACATCTGATAGAGGACTGTTTTCCAAAACATACAAATAACCTTTAAAGCTCAACAATAAGAAAACAGCCCAATTAAAGAATGGGCAAACGACCTGAATGGACACCTCACCAAAGAAGATATACAGATGGCAAATAAGCATATGAAAAGATGTTCAATATCATGCATCATTAGAGAATTGCAAATTTTAAAAAAGGGACACCACCACCCACCTATAAGAACGACAACCATTAGAAACACCGACACCAGGAAACCGTGGTGAGGCTGTGGAGCAACAAGAACTGTCCCTAATTACTGGCAATAATATGAAACGGTACAGCCACTTTGTAAGACAATACGGCACTTTTTTACACAGCTAAATATAATTTTACCCTACCATCCAGGAATAGCATTTCTTGAATTCAAATGAGTTGAAAACTTATGTTCACACAAAAACCTGCACATGAATGTTTAGAGCAACCTTATTCATAATTGCCAAAACTTGGAAGCAACCAGGATGTCCCTCGATAGGTGAATGGACAAATAAACGGTGGTATATCAAGACAATGCAATGCTATTATTCAGTGATAAAAATAAGTGAGCTATTAAGTCACAAAAAGATATGATGGAACTTTTGATGAATATTGCTATTTGAATAAAGCCAGTCAGAAAAGGCTACATATTGTATGATCCCACCATATGACATTCTGGAAAAGGCAAAGCTATAGAGACAGTGAAAAGATCTGTGGTGGCCAAGGATTTGGAGGGGGCAAGGATGAATAAGCAGAGCACAGAGGATTGTTAGGGCAGCGAGACTATTCTGCACCAAACTGTAATGACGGATACAGTGTGCAGTTTTCAAACTCATAGCGCTGACAACATCAAGAGTGAGCTCTTTTTTTTTTATTATTATTATTATACTTTAAGTTTTAGGGTACATGTGCACAACGTGCAGATTTGTTACATGTGTATACATGTGCCATGTTGGTGTGCTGCGCCCATTAACTCGTCATTTAACATTAGGTATATCTCCTAATGCTCTCCCTCCCCCGACCCCACAACAGGCCCTGGTGTGTGATGTTCCCCTTCCTGTGTCCGTGTGTTCTCATTGTTCAATTCCCACCTATGAGTGAGAACAAGAGGTGTAAACTAGGGACTTTAGTTAATAATGATGTATCAATATAGTTCATCAGTTGTAACAAAATTTACCAAACTATGTAAGATGTTAATAAGACAGGGGAGATTGGAGTAGGGGTATATGAGAAATCTTTACTTTCTGTTCATTTTTTCTGTAAATTTAAAACGGTTCTAGAAAATAAATAATTAATAATAATTAGAAAAAAAAAAAAGCTTGGTCAGGCATGGTGGCTCACGCCTGTAATCCCAGCACTTTGGGAGGCCAAGGCAGGAGGATCACCTGGGGTCAGGAGTTCGAGACCAGCCTGGGCAATATGGTGAAACCCAGTCCCTACTAAAAATACAAAAATCAGCCAGGCATGATGACACGTGCCTGTAATCGCAACTACTTGAGAGGTTGAGGCAGAATTGCTTGAACCCGGGAGGTGGAGGTTGCAGTGAGCTGAGATCGTGCCGCTGCACTCCAGCCTGGGCAACAGAACAAGACCCTGTCTCAAAAATAAAAATAACAATAAAAATTATACTAAACTGTAATAAAACATGAGTTTAGCGAGTTTATAATATACAAGATCAACATACAAAAATCAATTGTAAAAAAAAAAAGATGTCTAGAACAGGTAAATATTCAGTAAGTGGTAGTATTCTAATAGTAAACAAGAAGTTGTGCCGACCCTCAGGCTGTTGGGAAGCGTTCTGGCTTGGTAAATCTCAGCGTGGCCACTCACTCACTGTTGTCTTGGATAACTTCATTCCTTTTCCCTTCGGCCCCAGCATCCTTGTCTGGAAAAGACAAGACTTGGATCAGATGCTTGTGCCCAGTTCTGACATTCGAAGAGGCTATTCATTAAAGGATATTTCTATGATAAATGATTCAAGAAATGTTGTCACTTGATCTCCCTCAGAGAACAGCCAAATTATGTTAAAATGTAACAGAAAATAACCAGAAGAAAAAACTTCCTTCTCATTTCTAGGAAAGGCGCTAGAATTCTTGGTGAAATCTAATAAAGACAAAAATGATTCACTCTTTCAACATATTCAAGAAGGAAAAAAGAAAGTGCAGAAGAGGGGGAGGGAAAAAACATAAATTTCCAGGTCGATTCCACCTGTTTCAGCTGGCAGCTGGGTGGGGGCGCTGGGACACTTGACCTCGATGTATCTTCTGAACAAAGTGGGAGGGGAGGGCCTCCTGCCATCTTTTGTCATCAGGCAGGCCAAGCCTGGCTAATGGGAACTGTCACCTGGGCCTTTCCAGGTCAGAAACGAAGAACAGCAATTAACTCCTCCAGGAGGCCTGCGGCCTGGAGTAAGCCCTGCCCGGCCAGGTAGCTAAATCATTAAAGACACAGTTCTTTTCAGTGATAAATTGTGCAGGCGCGTGAAACCCGCTGCTGGCCATTAATCTGGGCTAATCAGGTTGAAAGCTGGGTTGTTTTCTTTAGTAATTAACGGGTTATGTGAAAAACATGATCCATGGCCTGGGGTGCATCTATAGAGCACAGTCCAGGAGGAGAGAATGAGGAACGGCAGGAATTCTCTGGAGAGCCACTCGGGCCTGTGCAATTACAGCGATTGGCAAATGCTGAAAAATGACCCTGGGCTTGTATTGACACCCAGGAAAGAAACATTCCTGCCAACAGCGCGGGAGGAGTCTTGAAGGCCGATAATTGCTCTCTCCCTCCCGCCCCTTGCAGCGGCCTGCGAAGCTATTCCCAAAGTTGCAGGGATGCACGGTGATTTTGCAGGGGGCACACACTGCTCCCTATGGTTGTGGACAGCCTGTGTTTGAAAGTAGGCTGGATGGAGAGTGGTGCTGTTTGCAAAAATGGGGGTCCCAAAAGAAAGAGAGGGACAGTAAGGGTGGGAGAGATGAATGATTTCCTTCTGAACACATTGAGATGGAGGTGCTCAGACATGGCCAAGACAGGATGACCAATTGGTGACCAGATGGATGGATGGATGTGCAGCTCAGGAGCTGAACAAGAGGCTGAGGCTTGAGCTATGAGCAGAGCGGGGGCCTGTGATGCCGCGGAGAGGGCCAGTCCCGCAGGAGAGTGTATGTGCAGAGTAAAGGAAGGAAGGACACACTCAGCACCCTGTGGGTGGCCAGGCCATAGATCAGAGCCTATACCCTATACAGTGCCCAGCCCCCTGCTATGGTCCTGCTGACGCTCTGCTACATGAGCCACCGGACTGAGCCCTGCCTGTTCCACCTGCTAATCGGCCCCAGCATCTCATCTTCCTTCTCCAGGGCCTGCACGCCACACCAGGGGCACCACCATCTCTGTGGCAGTCTGCCACAAATGTAACATTACAGGTCAGCCGGCTTCCCTTCTTACCACCTTTGCTCTGATCTCCCCCATGGAGCCAGGAGGATCTTCCTAAAACCCTTGAGATGCTCCAGCACAATTTAAAGATAAAATCAAAATGATTAACCAGGTTGACCAGGTCTGGCATGAAGTCAGAATGCTGCCTGCTTCTCCAGCTTCCTCTTGGCTAGCTCCTCTCCCATCACCCTCAGAGGCACAGCCATACTAACCTTCACTTACTTCTTCAAATGTGCCATGTCCACACATACACACACATACCCTCCTCTCAGCATCCTCTCTCCTCACTCCCCTCCACATTAGATCCTACTGCAGAAATGTCCCCTCTTCCAGGAACACTTGCCTGGCTTCTCAAGCTGGGTTAGGAGCCTTCCTCTCAGGTGCTACAGCTGTGTGCTTTCAGGGCACTTGTCACTTTGTGGTCCTTATCAGCTTCCTTCCCTCAATCTCCCTCCAAGCTCCATGAAGGCAAGGACCACATCCACATCCATATTGTTGTTTACTGTTGCATTTGCAGCTCCTAAAATAGTTCCTGGCACATAGTAGGTGGTCAATAAAACTTGTTGCATGAATGAATGAAAAAGTTCATTGAGTCAGAAAACCTCTTGAAGGGCATTGAATCTCAACCCCACAAATAAGAAAAGTGACCCTGGAGAAGGCTGATAACTCATTGGGTCACAAGGCAAATTGGTGACAGGCAGGAAGGAAATGTGGGTCTCCTGACATGGCCCAGGGATCTCTCCAGAAAACTACACTACATCTCGATTCACATCCGCCACCATTCACATCTTTGAAAAATGTATTATTGAAATTTTTTATGGAAGCCCTTGACCTTTTGATCAATATAAGCAATTTCTCCAGATAAGCAGCCTATTTCTATAGGTGGGAATATCTGGCATTTCCATATAACATCAATGACAAGAATCAATTTAAGGAACACCTAAATATTTGTGTTATGCTCTAGGATTCCTTGGAGGCAGTTTAGTTGAAGGTAGGAGTGAGGGTTTCAGAGTCAGAAAAACCTGGGCTTAAATTCTGACCCAGTCATTTATTAGTTGTATAATTTGGGGCAATTTACTAGACCTCCCTGTGCCTTAATTTTTTCATCTATAAAATGTGGGTGATCATAATACTGACCTAGTAAATGATTGTGAAAACAAATGAGATGCTAATAATAATAGGAGATAATGTTTATTAAGTACTAGATACTATGCTAAGTGCTTAATCTGTCTTATTTCATTCACTCTCTGAACAACATAGTATTCTTATGCTTCTCCCCATTTTATAGATGAAAAACAGTTTGGCACAGGAGGGTTCGGTAAACTGCCCAAGGTCACAGTGTCAGGAGGTAGAAGAACTAGAATCGGGACATGGGCCATCTGGCTCACGTTAAACCACTGCACTGGCCTGATGTATTTCCTGCGAAGCCCAGGGGCTGACCGTGTGTGCCATTGTGTTACCTGGAATGTGTAGCAGCAGCACCAGAAGCAACAGTAGAAGTCACATTTTGCCAAGGTCTTGGCTTGTAGTAGGTGTTCGATAAATGGCACCTCGTAGGCCTGTTCTTAGCCTGAGGAATCTGCCCAGGAATTTGTTTTCTACCTTTTCTGTAAAAGAGACCTATGAGCCTTTATGAGGAAATCCAGGCAGCAGGAATGTTTTCCTGTGGAGCTGCTGAAGGCAAGCTGGCCTTGGAGGAACCGGTTCTCCGCAGGCCGGGAGTCCTGGCACTGGCTGGCTTCCGGGCGGTCAGCTGCCAAGACAAGACATACCGGGCCCCCAATGGTTCCATCTTCCCAGCCTGAGGCTAGGCCGTGTGCACACAAACCAGATGGAGAACCGAGTAAAAATACCCAAGGAGTGGCTGGTGCAGCCCCTGGGAGATATGTGAGCCCCTGGGAGTCTCTGTTGCCCCAGGACTGGGCACTGGATGTTGGCTGGGAGGCACACTCCAAAAGCAGCCCTCAACCCTCCTAGGCTAGCATGTCCCAGAGGGGACATCCAGCTTTCTCCTTCCTCCAGGGGAAGCCTATCACCCCTCAATGATGCCCATTTTTTGTTGGCCTTACGCTCTAGCTGAGCAAGGGAAGGTAGCAGCCAGTCACATCCCACTTGACAGGAACACCAATGACAGCAGTTCATGGCAAAATGGGAACCACCGAGCCCGGAAGATGGAAGGATGCTTGCTTGGAGACCTCCTGTGAAGGCAGGTGTTGTTATAGCACTAAGGTTGAGAGCCTGAACCCTGGAGGCATCCTCCCCCAGGTTTGAATCCAGGCTCTCCCTCTTACTAGATTTGTGACCTTTGGCTGTTTCTTAACTTCCCTGAGTCTTCATTTTCTCATATGTATGAGTGGAAATAATAGTGATACCTACTTCATAGAGTTCTGTGAGTACCATACGAGATAACCCACATAAAGTATGCAGAGTGATGCTTGAGATATAGTAATTGTTCAGTAAGTGTCAACTACTTACTCTTGTGACTATAACCCGCTCATCCAGTGCAGGAATCCTCATCATGCCTGTGTGGTTAGTGTCTGCTTGGCCACTTTCAGTGATGGGAAGCTCACTTTCTTCCAAGGCTGCTATTCTGCTGCTGGACAACTCTTCTTATTCTGTGGTCCTTCCTACTCCATGCGGCAACAAAAATACACATGAGAAGTCCATACACCCTGAAATGAAAAATATCCAAGATATATTAAATGAAACAGATCAAGCTGCAGAACAACGCATGCATTAAAAAAACAGGATTTGCTCCATTCAGCCTTGAGACACCACGGTAACTAATAACAGATATTGGCCACCCTCTGTGACTGATTGGCTTCTAAGAGGAGGTAGAGTAATTGCCCTCTCATGGTGGTATTTTAGGCAGCAGGGCAGGCTGGGAGGTAACAGAGGCAAGTTTGGGTGAAGAGATTTCTGTCGATTAAATCACTTAGCTGCCTCCTAATTTATTCTCAGAAATGATCAGTCCTAGAGCTTGACCAAGGGAAAAGCTCACTAGCCTCCTACAGTGGTTTAGATCATTTTTTGAGTGAAGTTCAGGATCCAGAATTGATGGGGAGTCTTGAATCTGTCATTTAAAAATTTCCCTAAACTCTCAAGGGTTGGCCAAGCATTTCCTATAGAAAACATGATGCATGCGAATCAGGGCAATCTCAAATAATCCTTTCTTTCATGACACTCCAAGAGTCTGACTTAGTGTCTCTTGTTATCCTCGGAAGATGGCCCAGACCCACCCCCTGCACCTGCTCCCTACCCAGCCACAGGGGGAACTCATATTTCCTCTCTGCAACCACTATACCTGGAGAGGTTTGGAATAGTATTATGTAACCACTCATTAGCATAAAGAGAATGCTTGTGAGAAATACTTGTCCGATAGCATTGCTTCTGCCAGCGAAATTTCTGTGGGCTGCTGGAAGTCTGCAGATCTGGGCCATGTGACAATGCAAAGCTCTGTGATAGTCATTATTTTATCCAGTCTTACAACAAACCCATATAGTAGGCTTATTTCATCCCCATTTTACAGATGTAGAAACTGAGGCAAGGAGAGTGGGGGAAGCAACTTGCCTAAGGCCACACAGCTCCATGGTGTTAGCAGTGAGCTTATCCCAAGGTCTCTGACCGCTCATGGAATGCCCTTTCTGCTTCCCCTGGACCCTTAGGAGCTTCCTCATTCCCTTGTGTCTTTGTTCTTGATCCAGTTCTGTTACCCCCTTCAAATATCTACCATGTTTCAATACCATAGGAGAAAAAAGTCTTGTTCTAGGAAGAGAAAGGTGAAAGACAAGCAGGATGGAATAAGAAATGATAAGAAGCCCAACACAGAAGCAGCAGCAAATATAAACACAAGGCTTGTGCTTCCCATGCAAGCCCCAGGTTCTCGGAGCTGGCTCTAAGAGTCTGACTCAGAGCAAAGTGAATGTCATCCTGATGACTGTGATTCGGTCACTCTGTCCAAGGTCCAACAGAGGCCTGCTGACTAAGCTCCACGGTGGGGGGAACAAAGGAACTGTCAGGCCTGCCTGGTCCAACGATGCCAAACTGAGGCCACGCAGGGGCTGGAGAGCTCTGAAGCTGCACTTGGAAGAGGCCAGGGATGCAGTGAGATCAAGGAGGCAAGGTCACGGCCCATCACCGTTATGGCGACCTCATGCAACAGCGTCCTAAGACACAGAGGCAGGGGAGACAGGGAAACTGCACAATCCTTCTTGTGCCTCAACTTGGCTCCACTGGCCTGGGCCCCAGCATCTAAGAGAGCATTGAGGCTGCTCTGCACGTCTTCTCCTGGCTAATTTGGAGTCCTCTCTGCAGCCTCAGCCCTGGGATTATGCTGGCGGGTGGCTGGTGCCAAGGTGTGTACAGAAGGTCATGTGGGGGCTGTAGCCTCAGCCTGAGCCAAGGAGCCCCACTGAGGCCCTCCTCTTGCGCTGTGGCTGATGTAGACCCCAGATGCCACCTGCGCCTTCTCCGGAGCATTTTTCCTGCGGCCACAGCCCTGGGCAAGCCAGGGGATGGGAAAAGCATTGGCCCATCCAGCTAAACTTTATAACTGAAAACGTGTGTACAGTGGACACCCTGAGTCTGAAGTGAGGGAAGGGAATCTTTCACAAGATACAGTCTTGCTGTGCTACGAATATAAAGGAAAAGAGGTTTACAATCTCTTCTCCTTCCAAGCAGGCCTTCCTTCAGGGCTTTCGTTTCTGTATCTGTAAGACAAAGGACTGAGGGAACTTTCACATGCCTTCACTCTGCTCTGTGACTCTGTAAACCTCACACCTTGACTTCCTGTAGCCCCAGATGCAGTAGCTCCAGGTGGACACGCTTGAAATTTTATCCCAGAGGCCCCTGCTTACAGAGAGCACCTTAGCCTCAAAACCAAGAAAATCCACAGTTTTTCTCTGACAGCCTCAGGGTGTGTCCTCATGACTCCAAAATTCAGCTGCACTCAGTTACCTGGTTCATACAATAACTTAGGTAAGAGCTCCCGCAACTTTCCTTTAATTCAGCCAGAACTTTGGCCTGGAGCACCCCACAGATTCCTCTGGAAGTGCCTATTTTAGGTCCTGGTGCCAGATTCTACCTGTTTTCCAGATTCCAGCAGCTGAGGGATGTCTTTTAAAGAGATATTCAAAAACTTTTAAAAATACCTGAGATGAGGCAATGTGAGCAGGTACACACACCCATACGTATTTGTTCAGCAAGCTGGGCTTGTGCACCCTGTGCTGGGTACCAGGGGAACAGTCTCGTGGGGGTGCGGACAAGACAAGCAAACAGAAGTGATATCAGGGACCGATAACGTGGACATGCCCCGTGCCTGGATCGTTTGGGCATTTGGCATCACATTTGATCACAGGAGATACGGGCTGAAGATAGAAAACTCACATCCCTCATTCTCAGAGCTGGGGGAGGTCGCAGAGACCCGGCTGCTGGCCTGATGGCCCCTCACTCACTGGTCTGATCACGTGCGGCTCCCTGGGGACCCCATTGTCTGCACGGATGAGCTGGGGTTCATTTGGGAAACCCGTCCTTGGGAATGGAAAGGGAGATTTCAACCGTGGAGTTGGACTTTTGTGTTAATACAACTGTGTTTTGTTTGGGGGTTTTGTCTTTTTTCAAATAACACCACACAGAGAACCCTAAGAAAGTCCCCAGGCTGCAGCAGACAGACGCATCATTTCTTTTTATTCCATCAGTCAGGGGAAAAAAGAAAAAAAGAGAAAAGAAAGAGAAGAAAGGAAAAGAAGCCCCCTAAAGCCCCTCCCGTGTCCTTCCCATCAGCCACGTGGGTTTGCACAATTAAATCTCAATAGCTCCTTCCAGGGCTTTGTGGGGGCCATGGGCCCCATGAGGACGGTCACTCTGGCACTCAGAGTGGCTTTCCTCTCCACACGCTGCTGGGCGAGTCTCTCCCCAGACAGCTCCTTCCAGGCTGCACCTAGCCATGCCGACTCCTCTCAAGGGGTGGGTTGTGTCCCCAGGGCCAGGGAGCCCCATGCCAGGCAGCAAGCAGCCCAGGCTCCAGGGGTAAACAACTACCCACCCGAAAAGCGTGCAGAAGCAGCTGGCTGCTGGCTTCACCTGCCTTTTCAGTGGCTGCAGAGAGAGCTCATCACAGTGTTGGGTTCGTTTATAGCAGTAGCAAGGGAATTTTGTTTTTTAAATGAAAGATCTATCATAGATCAGGTACATTTGGCATAATCTAGTATTTTCTGTTTTAAAAAATTATAAATTTTCAATTTATCTAATAATCAAATTAAGAGCATGGAACTTAATAAAAGATGCATCTCTTAAATCTGAAGCTATAGTATCAAATAAATAGGCCTCAGCCCCAGTTGGTAAAGAAAGAGAGGAATTCAGATAAGCGGAAGAAGAGCAAGGGAATTCTCTGGAATGAGAAGCCCTTCCCATTTCTCCCTCCACTTCCATCTATCCTCTTCCCAGAGCAGCGTGTTCTTTCCTTTGCTCATTCTGTTCCCTTTCCACGAATCCATGGCTCCCTCCCTCAGGATCTCTCAAATCCCAATGCCTCCACAGAGCACCTTTGGATTCTGTCCCCAATGGCTCTGATGGTAACCCCTGCATCCCCATAGCCCTTGTGAATATCTGTCTATATCATCTTTTGTACCTTAGCTTTTAGCATAAGTGTTTTGCAAATCTGGCAAATACACTAAATTGCTCCTTGAGGCCAGGGATGGTGTCTGGGGTTCCCCTGCCTCCCCTACAATCACTGGCCTGTTGGTACAATTCCCTGAGTTGAACTGCAGGGCATAGCATGTGAGGCTGAGTCTCTGGGCAGGTGAAGGCAGGCTGAGTCTCTGGCTAGCTGCCACCCCTGCATCCACCAGGACATTGGCCATGCTGACTGGAAGTTTCCTCTACCACTTTGTTCAACAAATATGTATTTGTCACATGAATCTCCTCAATAAAAAATAGCTCATTTGATCTTAAAGTTGTGTATGTGTTGGTGGGGAGGGGAGGGACATGGGATGTGAACAGGCAGGTCTTACATCTGCATTTCACCTGGGTCATTTATTCATTTGGATTTGTCACTTTACTCCTTTAGTACTATTTCCTTATCTGTAAAATGGGAATGATAATAATGACACCACCCTGCCCTCTGTCCTGAGTGAGTTGAGGTCCGAATGTCTGTGAAGAACAGTTTGTAAACATATGGAATCAACGATTGCTAAGCAAGTACCCCTGGGCTGGGAAGTGCCATTCCTTAAGTCATTACTGTCAATAGTTGGAAACTGAGTTGACGATTCACAGAGTAAGACTGATTTTTTAAAGTATATATAATTATGGTCTTCCTCGTGCAAGAAGTGGGGCTGGGGCTCCATGGGGTAGGTGGGAAGGACATTCGGAAGGTGAGCAGTGCAAGTCTGCATATGAAGTGGCAACTGGTTTTCCTGAAGTCAAGGGGATATGGTGCAGGGGATGAGTGCAGGCCACAAGTAGGAGGTCGGTTTGGAAACTGGAAGACTGGGCTGTACTGCAGAGGCCTCCCACATGTAAGTGGAGCTTTTGAAGATTTTGAGCAAAGAAGTGAGGTGTTGAGATCTTTGAGTTCAGGAAGCATGGCCGGGTGCACTCAGTGAGGAAGGGAGACGCTGGGGACAGAGCAGCCCATGGGCAGGTGACTGTAGTCACTCAGTGGGGCTGTGGACTGGGCTGTGGCAACAGTGAACAGAGGGCAGGCTCACAGCCATGCTGCAGGAAGCAGCCTTTGCAGGTGACTGACTGCCTGGGATGAGGGTGCGGGATGGAGAGGGAGCAGCACCCACCACACCAAGGCTGGACCAGATGCCTCCTCTGTTATCCCAGGGTACGCTTGTCAGTGCACGCATCATAGCAGCTTGAAGCTTGTCCCCCATCCTGGACTGTACATAACACAGCAACATTATACCCCAATGCAGGTGCTAAGAAATACGTGTTGAATGAATGAGAGTGACTCAAATTTACACTCCACTTTCAAAATAAAAGCCCTTAGCCAAAGCTACTCCTTGTTTGGGAGGGAACTCAATTTTGGATTATGAGATCCCTGGATTTTTCCCTGGTTTCAGGATGGATGCAGCTCCAGGAGATTCCCTGGCTCTGCCGTGGCTCTTCCCATATAATGCAGGCCCAATGGGAACACTGGGTTACCTGGACCCCCATCCTCCTCATCACTGATAGTCATCAAGGCCAAATTTCTGGAGTGTCTACTCTGTGCCAGACTCTGGAGATGTGACAGATATTATCTTATTTAACTCAACTTCTCTTTATGGAAATCTTTTGAGTAAAGGTTTATAATCCCATTTTTTTCCAGAGGTCTTAAAACTGAAGCTTAAAAAAAAGGTTTGTAACTTTCCCAAGGCCACTCAACAAGGCATGATGGATGTAGTCACACCACAGTGAGGCCCTCGAGGATGGGCCTGGGTGTGTTCTCTACCTTACCCGCATACCTTTGCCCACACTGTGCAATTTTCAGTTTTGTTGAATGAGTGAATGAAACAACATTTTTCTGACTCCAAGCTCAAACACATTTTGAGCCTTCGTTGTCTTATCTGAAAAATGGAAATAATATGAAACTCACACACAGGCTTGGTGTGAGGTTAAAATGGGTCCTGGCAATATGTTTGGGAATCCTAGGGGTATGTAAGCCACCTTCCTTCCAAAAGTCCCCAAATCCCAGACTGCCGAGAATGCCTGCAGACACCCTTCAGACGAGGTGTGGCCTTCAGAGCTCAGCTCTCCTCCCACCAGGGCTCGTTTGTAAAGCCAGGTCTGATACTTAACACCAGCATCATCACCTGCCACCAGGCAAATGAGGAAACCTTCCATAAAAAGCTGAACAAACTCCCTTTATTTCTAATGCACCTGAAACCTGCTCACGACTCCCAGCCGCCACCCCCATCCCAACCACACCTCTCAGCTCTACCTGCTTCCAAACTCTAACCCTTTGTCAAGGAAGTCAGAGGAAGTGAAAGGTTAACTGAAAGGGGGGCGTCTTTGTTGCCAGAATAAGTTAGCGGTGGGGTTGCTGTCTCCGCCACTGCTGCTAAAGTTTCAGCTGCTGCGGCCACACAGAGCAGGGCCTTGTTCTTTCATGAAAGTTCTAGTCTTAGTTTTGTTTCAGGGATGTGGAGACTTCAGCAGGGCTTTTGTGGCCAAAGAAATCTCCTGGACAATAGGGTCACCCTCCAAAGTGTTTGCTCCACCCTGGAGGGAGAGCTGGGGCTTACAAACTGCACGGCTGCACTTGTGGACGTGGAAAGTTCCATGAGGGTCCAGGAGAAAGGGAGGAGTCTAGCCTCCACCATGCCAGCCACTTCTTAGGCCGAGTCACCATGCTCAAAGAGCACTGCCTACAGCCCTCACCTCGTGGGGCCAACATCAGCCACACCCACCCAGGGACGAGATGGGAGATCTAGACCCAGTCGAATTGCCTCACTCAGAAGCTGGCTTTTTCTGCCTGATGCAGCTAATGACCCCTCTTTGTCTAGAGTGCCAGACTGTTTTGTGACCACACACATCAAGTTTAGTAGGGAAAGTAAGGGTGGAGATGGGGTAAAACGTTACTGAGCATTAAGCTAATATCAGGTGCAGTGGGAAGCACTTTAATAATAATTTTTGTTAAGCACATACTATGTCCTAAGCATGCTATTAAGCATTATATAAATATTATTTTGTTCTGTGTTCATAATAATCTTCCAAGGAAGATAGGAATATTATCATCTTCATTTTACAGACGAGACTGCTGAGATTCAGAGGGATTGAGTGACTTGTCTAAGCTTATATAGAATATAAGTGGTGACGCTGGGACTTAAATATGGGAATTGAATCTATATCTGTACAACATAGATGCCCAAATTTTCATATTTTTTTCTTTACGGAAGTATAACTGATGTACAACGTACTATACATATTTAAAGCATACAATTAATAAGTTCCCGCATCTGTGAAACTATCATCACAAACAAGACAATGAACATATCTGTCGCCCCCAAATTTGTCTCGTGTCCCCGTAATACCTTCATCCTGTATTCAGGCAACCACGGATCTACTATCGCCATTTATCAGCTTGCACTTCCTACAATGTATGGTTCCTAGAACCATATAGTATGTACTCTTTTAAAAAAAAATGTGGCTTCTTTTACTTAGCATAATCATTTTGAGATTCACCCATGTTGTTACATGTCTCAGTGGTCCACTTTCTTTTTCTTTTTCTTTTTCTTTTAAAGACAGGTTGTCACTTTGTCACCCAGGCTGAAGTGCAGTGGTGTGATCTTGGTTCACTGCAGCCTCAGCCTCCCAGGGTCAAGTGATCATCCCACCTCAGCCTCCCCAGTAGCTGAGACTACAGGCCTGCACCACCACATCTGGCTAATTTCTTTTTTTGTATTTTTTTGTAGAGATAGTGTTTTGCCATATTGCCCAGGCTGGTCTCGAACTCCTGAGCTCAAGCCATCTGCCCACCTCCGCCTCCCAAAGTGCTGGGATTATAGGCGTGAGCCACCGCACCTGGCTGGTCCATTTCGTTTGATAGCCAAATAGTGTTCCACTGTATGAATATACCAGTTTGTTTATCTGTTTCTCTCTTGCTAGACATTTGGGATATGTCTAGTTTTTAGCTGTTACAAACAAAGCTGCTGCGCACATTTGTGTACACATCTTTGTATAAAACACATGCTTTCATTTCTCTTGGGTAGACAGGAATGAAATGGCTGGATCATATGATAGTTTTGTATTCGATGTTTTAGGAAACTTCCAATTGTGTTCCAAAGTGGTTATACCATCTCACATTTCCACCAAGAGTGTATGAAGATTCCTGTTACTCCATATCTTTGTCAACACTTGGTATGGTCGGTCTTTTAGTCCTAATAGGTGTGTAGTGGCATGTCATCTTTTCAGGTGCTTGCTTGTTATTGTAGATCTCCTTTAGCAAAACGTCTATTCAAATCTATCGCCTACATTTTTTGTTTTGTTTTGTTTCTGTGCTTGTAAATTGTGCTTTAGTTTCTGCAATCAGATAGAATGCAGTGAGATACAAGCATAAAGCTTCACTGTGCATCCAGAAAATAAAAAGCACACATATGCAGATTGAGCTGAACGGCTTATTCCCTTAATAAGAAAATAAAAAGCACACATATGCAGATTGAACTGAACGGTTTATTCCCTTAATAAGAAAATAAAAAGCACACATATGCAGATTGAGCTGAACGGCTTATTCCCTTAATAAGAAAATAAAAAGTTTTGAATTTAAAAAAGCTTGTTAATCTTCAGTGTAAAAACTTGGAGGTATAAACAGTTTCAGTTCATTATACATGGTAAATTAATATACAATTCTCAAGTTGTACAGCATAGCATTGTAAGCAAAGTAAATCGTCTCATTTCAGTTTTTACTCTTAAGCATAATCCACACCTCAACCTTAGATAAAAATTTCACAATATATAAAGCCACTGAGAATTCTGTATACAAATGCAGGTTATAGAAATCTGATTTCAAATACAACTACAAAAATTGTCACGACCTTACATGTTACAACAGCTTACTTATTTTTCAATTATAATTTTTAAAAATTATAGAAAAGAATTTCACTGTAATCCCAGCACTTCAGGAGACCGAGGCAGAAGGACTGGTTGAGCCCAGGAGTTTGAGACCAGCCTGGACAACACAGTGAGACCCTGTCTACACAAAACTGTTACAACAACAATAAAAAAAATTAGCCAGGCGTGGTGGCAAGCACCTATGGTCCCAGATACTCAGGAGGCTGAGGAGGGAGGATCGCTTGAGTTCAGGAGTTTGAGGCTGCAGTGAGCTATGATGGTATCACTGCACACCATCCTGGATGACAGAGTAAGAACTTGTCTAAGAAATTAAAAAAAACCATCTCAATGCACATTCAATGGCTGTGACAAGGGCCATGATCTTGTGCCTTTAAATCATACTTTCTGGAGTATAAAGCATCACCCGTGTGTTTTAAATTGGGTTGTTTGATTTCTTATGATTGAGTTTTGAGAGTTCTTTATATATTCTGAATACAAGTTCTTTATCAGACACAGGATTTGCATATATTTTCTCCCATTCCGTGTGTTGCCTATGAATTCTCTTAGAAGTATCCTTTGAAAGACAGAAGTTTGATTTTGATGATATCCATTTTATCATTTGTGCTATTATGGATGGTGCTTTAGTTGTTGTATCTAAGAAATGTTTGTTTAACCCAAGGATGCAGAGTTTTTTTCCTGTTTCTTTTTTTTTTTAGTTTTATCATTATAGTTTTAACATTTAGCTCTATACTTCATTTCACATTAACTTATAATATATGTATATAACTATGTATGTATACATATGTGAACTGATGTGTATGGTGTGATAGTGAATCAAAGTTCATTGAGCGTATAGATGTCCAATTGCTTCAGCACCATTTGTTGAAAAACTACCCTTTCTCCACTAAATTGCCCTTGAACTTTTGTGAAAAATCTGGTGTCCATGTATGTGTGGATCTAATTCTGTACTCTATATTCTGTTCCATTGATCTATTTGTCTGTCATTATGCCAAATTATACTTTTCTGATTACTCTACATTATATAACTTCATATAATAAGTTATATATAATAACTTATATAAGTTTATCAGGTTGTGTTAATCTCATTCTAGTTTGTTCTTCTTTTGCAAAGTTTTATTTTGTTTTGTTTACTTTCTAGGTCCTTTGTATTGCCATATGAGTTTTAGAATCAGTTTGTCAATTTCTACTTTAAAAAAACATGCTGGATATTAATGACATTCATAGTCTATTACATGCTATCATATTTAGTGCTTACTACAAAGTTATGATTTGGGTATTATTCTTACCATTTTTTAAAACAAAGAAACCAAGACTCACAGGTTACAGAATTTCATTTAAAATCTCATTAGTAAAAACTTGAACCAAGTTGTCTGTAATTCTTGGACCACTACATCTAAAGGAATTAGCTGGGTCATAAATGGTGTCCCAGCCTCCAGCTGGGATTTCCCACTGGACAGTTCTGGGTTGTATTCAACACTTGAAGCTATCACTTTTTCCTCATTTGATGTTTACTTGATTGAACCTTCAAAATGTATCCTCCATGCTATCTCTCTCTGGCCCTCTTTCATCTTCATTTTTTAATGAATCGGAAAAACACACATATCTAAGCATGCAGTTCCTCCCCTGCAACACTCACTAACTGCCGTCACAATGGGCACTTACTCACCTGACTTGTTCATGAGTGCTCAAATATCCATCTCCTTCAAAAGCATGTCACTCTCCTGCTCTAAAGCAATGACTCTCCGGTGCTTTCAAAATTAAGTTGACTCAGAGTCATGCCCATTTAGAGCAGAAGGTGGCCTTGGAGACTGTGTATACCAAACAGTAGAGAAGCAATATTCAATCCTCTTGTTTCAGATGGGAGAGTTAATTACCAAGGAGAAGAAGTGACTTTAACGCAAGGAATCCGTGACCCCATGCCTGTTAGGAATTCTGGTCTTGATTTTGTGTGGTTTTGGGCTTTGGATTCCAATCCTGGCCTAATGCTTTTTCCCTCTAAAAATGTTGAAGGCTCACCGGGACATTCAAGGCTCTCCCTATTGGCTTTGCAACCCATTCTCTGTCCTTTCAACATTCTACTGTCAACCAGCGTCCACATCGGCAGGATACTTCCTGGCTTCTGTGCCTTGCCTTCCACTGGTCCCTCCACCAGTGATGCCCCCATCCTTTTTAATCTGCATCTCTTTCTTCCTGAAATAGCTCCACTCCCTACATTTGAGGCAGGTCTCAAATGCCACCATTCTAGGAAATTTCTAATTCCTGCAGCTGCAAGTGTAGGTTCTCCACCCACCACCCTGAGTTCTCATCATTCTGGATCTGAGATAAAAATACACTGAACAAGATTAACAGCAGATTGGTGATCACAGAGAACTTAGTGAATTTGATGCTCTCACAACCGAAATACAAAATGCAAGCCAAAATAAAACCCAAGGAGAAGAAAGCCTGGGGAGAAAATGAATAAATTATCAGTGAGCTCTGGGATAACTTCAAGTGGCCTCATATATGTATACAATTGAGGTCACACAGTTGGAGAGAGTACAGAGAAAAGTATTGAAGAAATAATGGCTAAAGTTTTTCTAAGTTTGATAAAAACTATACACCCCCAGATCCAAGAAGGTCAACGAACCCCCAAGCATAAGAAAACTGAAGAAAAGTACAAGGCATATCTTAACCAAATTTCTTAAAGCCAGTAGCAGAAAGAAAAAAAAAATTAAAGCAGTTAGAGAAAAAAGACACATCACGTACAATGGAACAAAGCACAGAATTATAGCAGGCTTAACATTAAAAACAGGCCGGGCATGGCGGCTCATGCCTGTAATCCCAGCACTTTGGGAGGCCAAGGTGGGCAGATCACCTGACGTCAGAAGTTTGAGACCAGCCTGGCCAACATGGCGAAACCCTGTCTTTACTAAAAATACAGAAAAAAAAAAGATATATCCTGGTGTAGTGGCGGGCACCTGTAATCCCAGCTACTCAGGAGGCTGAGGCAGGAGAATCGCTTGAACCCGGGAGGTGGAGGTTGCAGTGAGCCCAGAGTGTGCCATTGCACTCCAGCCTAGGTGACAAGAGGGAAACTCCAACTCAGAAAACAAAAACAAAATCAAAAAACAAAAAAACATTAAAAACAATGCCTAACACGGTAAAACCCCGTCTCTAGTAAAAATAAAAAAAATTATCCAGGCGTGGTGGCAGGTGCCTGTAATCCCAGCTACTCGAGAAGCTGAGGAAAGAGAATCACTTGAACCCGGGAGGCAGAGGTTGCAGTGAGCGGAGATCACACCACTGCACTCCAGCCTGGGCGACAGAGCAAGACTCTGTCTCAAAAACAAAACAAAACAAAACAAACAAACAAAAAAAACAATGCAAGTTGAAAGATAGTGGAGCAACAGTTTTCAAGCTCGGAAAAGTAAAACCAACTTAGAATTCTATAACTAGAGAAAATGTCTTTTAGAAATAAAGGCAGAATAGATTGCTCAGACACAGAAAAGCTGAAAGAGTGCATCATCAGTTGACCTACACTATAAGAAAGATGAAAGGAAATCCATTAGGCAGAAGGAAGTGATATCAGATGGAAATCGGGATCCACTGAAAGGAATGGAGAACACCAAGAATGGCAACTACATTCATACAGGAACGGTTACGTGTAGGAGCTTTTTTCTTATTATTTAACTTTAAAAAATATAATTATCTATTTAAAGGAAAAATAATAACAATGTATTGGACAATTTATAACATACATAGAAGTAAAATGTGTGGCAACAATAGCACAAAGATTGGGAGGGGAGAAATGGAAGCATACTCCTGTAAGTTTCTATATGAGAAATATAATATTACTTGAGTTAAAGATATGCACCATAGGCTGGGCACAGTAGCTCACATCTGTAATCCCAGCACTTTTGGAGGTCATGGTTAGAGGATTGCTTGAGCCCAGGAGTTCAAGGCCAGCCTGGGCAACATAATGAGACCCTGTCTGTACAAAAAAATAAAATAAAATTTAGCTGAGTGTTGTGGCGTGCACCTGTGGTCCTAGCTACTCAGGAGGCTGAGGCAGGAGGATTGCTTGAGCCTTGGAGGTTGAGGCTGCAGTGAGCTGCAATTGTGCCACTGTACTCCAGCTGGTGTGACAGAATGAGACCCTCAATCTCAAAAAAAAAAAAAAAAAAGGCCGGGCGCAGTGGCTCGCTCATGTAATCCCAGTATTTTGGGAGACCGAGGCGGGCGGATCACCTGAGGTCAGTAGTTCGAGACCAGCCTGACCAACATGGAGAAACCCCATCTCTACTAAAAATACAAAAAATTTAGCTGGGCTTGGTGGCGCATGCCTGTAATCCCCACTACTCGGGAGGCTGAGGCAGGAGAATCGCTTGAACCCAGGAGGCAGAGGTTGCGGTAAGCTGAGATTGTGCCATTGCACTCCAGCCTGGGCAATAAGAGCGAAGGGAAAAAGAAAAAAAGTACCAGAAGCCAAAAGTTAACATTAAAAACAAAACAGAGAGGTACAGCTAATGTGTCAATAAAGGAGATTAAATGAAATCATAAATTATATTTAATTAACTCAAAAGTGGAAAGAAAAGGAAGAAAGGGGAAGAAAAAGTCAATAAACATGTAGAAATATCAAGACAATAGATTTAAAACAGTAAGGTGCTCCATGTAAACCCAACATATCAATAATCACATTAAATATAAATGGTCTAAACTCGTGAATTCAAAGGCAATATATGAAGCCAATATAGTCGACTTTTAAAGACTTGGTGAATCTGGGTGAAAAGTATATGGGAGTTCTTGTCACTTTTTTTGTAATTTTTCTGCAACTTTGAAATTATTTAAAAAATAAAAATAAAAAAGTGTAATTTTTGTTAAAAAAAAAGCGCATTTTTTTAAAAAAAACCTCTTATATCTCTTTTCTTAAGGTCATAGAGGACCTTGTTTTTTTTTATCTTGTTGAATTCCAGCAGGGTTGTGGCACTGGGCAGAGAGTCAAGAGACTGAACTCCAGTTCCGTTTCCACCACGTACAGTATTTGCTTGACCTCTCCGAGTCTCAGTTTTTTTCATCTGACAACGGGGTCACATTAAAACCTGCCTTGCAGGGTGATGGTGAGGAGTATTCAAGGACGCGCAATGCTGGCAGGTCATGAGTGCTCAGTGAAAGGCCCACTAGTCAGCAAGATCATAATTATACCTAAGCATCCTGACCCTGAGTGCATCTGTCAACGCTGCAAGCTGCAGTTGAGAAAGACAAGTCCAGGAGCCAAGGCCAAGGTAAGCCAGGATGATGCCAAGGGTAGCCTTTGCTTAGCTTTACCTACCTGCTGCCCCACCCACCTCCAGGGCATCCTTCCTGGCAGCTTTCTCTGTGTACTATTCAAGGATGGGATACATCATTGTTCCCCCACCCCAGCCACTCTATGCCCCCTTTCAGAGGGTGAGTATGCCAAGCCACAGGCAAATAGTGAGCCCCTGTGTCGGTTCCATCAGGTTCATTTTACTAGCATAGTTGGGCTGGGACCCTCATCCTTTCACGCCTGGATGCTGGTGATACGCTCATAAATGGTCTCTTAGACTGCAGCCCGATTCTGCCTTCTACTTCCTCATCTCCAAATCCAATCCTTTTTCCACACTATGGCCAAATGATTTTTTAAAATAATTTTAATAGCCTTTAGTTTTTAGAGCAGTTTTCGGTTCACAGCATAATTGAGAAGGAGGTACAGAGATTTCCTGTATATCTCCTGCCCCCACACACGCATAGCTCCCCGTTATCAACATCCCTCACCAGTGTGGTACATGTGTTACAATCAACAAATCCACACTGGCACACATTATCACCCCAAATCATAGTTTACACTAGAATTCACTCTCGGTGTTGAACGTTCTATGGGTTTGGATAAATGCATCCCCCTCTATTCTATCACACAGGATAGTGTCATTGCCTTGAGACTCTTCCGTGCTGTGCCTAGACAACCCTCCTTCCCTCCAACCCCTGATGACCACCGATCTTTTAATTGTCTCCATAGTTGTGACTTTTCCAGAATGCCATATAATTAGAATTGTATAGTATGTAGCCTTTTCAGATTGGCTTCTTTCACTTAGTCATATGAAGTTAAATTTATTTCATGGCTTGATAGCTCATTTCTTTTCAGCGCTGAAGAATATTTCATTGTCTGGATGTACCACAGTTTATTTATCCATTCACCTATTGAAAGATCTCTTGGTTGTTTCTAAATGTTGACAATTACCAATGAAGCTGCTACAGGTTGAATATTCCTTATCTGAAATGCTTGGGACCAGAAGAGTTTTGGGTTTTGGATTGTCTCAGACTTTGAAATGTTTGCAGATACTTTCCTTTGAGCATCATGTCTGTGCTCAAAAGGTTTCAGGTTTTTGAGCATTTTGGCTTTTTGGATTAGGGGCTTAACCTGTATAAACATCTATGTGCGGATTTGTATGTGGACATACGTTTTTCAACTCTTTTGGGAAAATACCAAGGAGTGTGTAGCTAAATTGTATAATAACTGTATGTCTAGTTTGTAGGAAACTGCCAAACTGACCCCCAGTGTGGCTGTACCATTTTGCCCAGCAATGAATGAGAGTTCCTGTTGCTCCACATCCTTGTCAGAATGTGGTGTTGTCAGGTTCTGGATTTTGGCCAGTCTAATAGGTGTGTAGTGGTACCTCACTGTTGTTTTAATTTGCAATTCCCTAATGGCATATGATGTTGAGCACCTTTTAATATGCTTATTTGCCATCTATCTTTTTTGGGTTTTGGTGAGGTGTTTGACTCCTTTTTTTGTTTTGTTTTGATGTTTGTTTGTTTGTTTTGAGATAGAGTTTCACTCTGTCGTCCAGGCTGGAGTGCAGTGGTGCTATCTTGGCTAATTGCAACTGCCACCTCCCGGGTTCAAGCGATTCTCCTGCCTCAGCCTCCTGAGTAGGTGGGACTATAGGTGCTCGCCACCACACCCAGCTACTTTTTGTATTTTTAGTAGAGACGGGGGTTTCACCATGTTGGCCAGGCTGGTCTTGAACTCCTGACCTCAAGCGATCTGCCCACCTCTGCCTCCCAAAGTGCTGGGATTACAGATGTGAGCCACCATGCCTGGCCAGTTTGATTCATTTTTAATTGGTTTGCTTTCTTATTGCTGAGTTTTAAGGGTTCTTTGTATATATTGGATAATAGTCCCTTATCAGATATGTTTTTACAAATATTTTCTCCTAGCAAAATGATCTTTTAAAAAAGCAATTCTGATCTTGTCACTTTCTTGCTCAAAACCCTTCAGTGGCTCCCCATCATCTTCAGCATAAAAATCTAAACCCCTTAACTTGTCACAATTTAAAACAACCTAACTCTTCAATTTCTTCCCTTAGCCTTCCTCCCTTTCCTTGACAAAGACACGCTCTTGGCTCTAGTCCCACTAGGCCAGCTTCAATTACCTAACTCCCTGCATGACATTCATTGAACACCTATTATGTGGCAGACACTATGCTAGGTGCATTTTTACTATTCACTTTCTTGACTGTTACCACAGTTAAGTAAGGGCTTATTATGCCACAGATGACAGTTCACTTTTGCCTGTTTTTCAACTCAGTTCAAGTGCTTCCTCCTCCACCTGGATCTGCTCTTTCTGTCTTCCCATGACACTCTATGCCTTTTCAGAGCACTAGTTCTCCAGAGTTAATTCTTGCCTATGATCCTGGATTACTGTCTTTGTTAGGTACAATTCCTATCAATCTGCATGGGCCTCTTGAACTGAGGACAACACTCTAACAGGGCCCGGCCTAGGGTGAGGCCAGGAGCCAGACTGAATGCAATGGAACCTCGTGCTCCCACAGCCAGATCTTGCCAGCCCTGTCCATCCCAGCAGCACCTTGCAGGATTCATCCAAGCATGTGCAGACACCCAGCCTGCCTCAGCCCTCCGCTGCTGGCCTTCAGAGCGTCTAGTGCCTGGGGTGTTGCTGGCACTGTGTCTTGGAGGGAAGTGAAGCAAAAGCGTCGGGACAAGGGGAATTATGTTCTCAAGAGCGTCGGGCTATAGGGCATCTGGGTCCTCCTGCAGAGGCCCCCAGGCTGGGGGCAAGCTGAGAGTCCCTGCCAAGCCTCTCTTCCTCTAGTTGGTGGAGTCTCTTTGCATTCTGACAATTGTGACCCAGCTTGTGTGCTCAGGTTATAGGGTGGGGCTTGCTGGAATCCCTACCCTGGGTATTGTGGGCAGGAATTCCAGAGGTGCTGCCCCTGGTGGGACTGGGAAGCAGGCAGTAGATGGAGCCTCCCCAGAACCTTGGCATTGCCAAGCCAGCTCCCTGGCCAGGGACACAGTATTGGGCAACACACTTCCAGGTGCAAACCTCAGGTACTCGTTTGTAAAATGGAGATCATGCTAATAGAGGATGGGGTTGCCTTGACTGTGGAGTGAGGCAGATTCAGCTAGCAGCAGCCTCCTGGGTTGTTGCAGGGGTTGATGTGAATGCAGGAGAGAAGTCCATGAAATGGAAAATTCTATGGATGGAAGCAAGTGTTTTTGCTGTTTATGTGCATGTGTTTATGTCAGCCACGGTGGTGATTTTTTTTTTTTCCCTTGACGTGAGCCATAAAGTCCTTAAAAAGCCTCATAGAGCTGGGTTTGGTGAACTGGAGGGAGCCAGGCCCCAGACACTTTAAACATGGCCTCAAGAAACTCCCTTCCCCTTTTGAGGATGCAGTTTCCCCACCTGCGAGTGAGGAAGTTGAACCACTTCCTGCTCTGGCCTGCTCTCTGACAGCTGTTTAACTTTCCTTCCCTCTATGCCATACATATATGCAGAGTGGCTTTGGGAATGCTGAAAGATGTGGGATATCGTGCAGCAGAGTGTGTTTAAATCTGCCTGACATGGTTTTAAGAAAGAATGGGCCAGATTCAGGACCAGAACAAATCAGACGCCTTCCAGTGGTGTGGAGGGAATCCTGAACTCACCAGTTATGTTAGGCCATTCTTTCACTGCTATAAAGAAATACCTGAGAATGGATAATTTATAAAGAAAAGAGGTTTAATTGGCTCGTGGTTCTGTAGGCTGTACAAACATGGAGCCATCTGCTTAGCTTCTGGGGAGGCCTCAGGGAGTTTTTACTCATGGTACAAGTCAAAGCAGGAGCAGGAGCATCACATGGCAAACGCAGGAGCAAGAGAGAGTGGGAGTGGGGAGGGAGGTGCCACACACTTTTAGATGACCAGATCTCATGAGAACTCACTCATTGTCTCAAAGACAACACCATGCCATGAGGGATCTGCCCCTATGACCCAACTATCTCCCACCAGGCCCCACCTTCAGCATTGGGGATTACAATTCAATATGAGATTTGGGTGGGGACAAATATTCAAACTCTAACATTCCACCCCTGGCCTCTCCCAAATCTCATGTCCTTCTCACATTACAAAATACAATTATGCCTTCCCAATAGTTCCCCAAAGTCTTAACTCATTCCAGCATTAACTCAAAAGTTCAAAGTCCAAAGTCTCATCTAAGACAAGGCAAGTCACTTCTACCTGTGAGCCTGTAAAATAAAAAAAAACAAGTTATTTACTTCCAAGATACAATGAAGACATAGGCATTGGGTAAACATTCCCATTCCAAAAGGAAACAATTGACCAAAAAAAAAAAAAAAAAAAAAAAAAAAAAAGGGTGGGGGGAACTGCAGGCCCCTCACAAGCTTAAACCCAGCAGGGGAGTCACTAAATCTTAAAGCTCCAAAATAATCTCCTTTGACTCCATGTCCCACATCCAGGGTGCACTGGTGCAAAGGATGGGCTCCCAAGGCCTTGGGCAGCTCTGCCCCTGTAGCTTCACAGGGTGCAGCCCCTGAGGCTGCTCTCAAAGGCTGGAGTTGAGTTTCTGAAGCTTTCCCAGGCACAGGATGCAAGCTGCTGGTGGATCTATCATTCTCAGATCTGAAGGACAGTGTCCCTCTTCCCCCAGCTCCACCAGGCAGTGCCCCAGTGGCAACTCTGTGTAGGGGCCTCCAACCCCACATTTCCCCTCTGCACTGCCTTAGTAGACGTTCTCTGTGAGGGCTCTGCCCCTGCAGCAGGTTTCTACCTGGATACCTAGGCCTAGTATCCCCTGAAACTAGGCAGAAGCCACCCAGAATCCACCACTCTCGCATTCTGTGCACCTGCAGGCTTAACACCACGTGGAAGCCACCAAGGTTTAAGGCTTGCATTCTCCAAAGAGGCAGACTGAGCCGTACCTGGGCATGTTTGAGCCACAGCTGAAGCTGGAGTGGCCAGGATGTGGGAGTAGTGTCCCAAGGTTGTGCAGGGCAGCAGGTCCCTGTGCCTGGCCCAGGAAACCATTCTTTCCTCCTAAGCCTCTAGGCCTGTGATGGGAGGGGCTGCCATGAAGTTTCCTGAAATGCTTTCAAGGCCTTTTGCTCATTGTCTTGGATATTAGTACTTGACTCCCTTTTAGTTATGCAAATATCTTTAACAAGTGGTTGTTCCACAGCCTGCTTGAATTCCTTTCCTAATAAGCTTTTTCTTTCTTTGTCACATAGCCAGGCTGTACATTTTCCACTTTACACTCTGCGTTCTTTTTAAATATAAATTCAAACTTTAAGCCATTTCTTTGCTCCCACATGTGACTTAGGTTGTTAGAAGCAGCCATGTCACTTCTGAAACATTTTGCTGCTTAGAAATTTCTTCTGCCAAACACCCTAAATCATCACTGTGAAGTTCATTCAAACATCCATAGATCCCTAGGGCATGAACACAAGGCAGCCAAGTGCTTTGTTAATGCATAACAAGGATGGCCTTAGCTCCAGTTCTCATTTCCATCTGAGACCTCTTCAGCCTGGCCTTCACTGTCCATGTCACTATCAACATTTTGGTCACAACCATTTAACCAGTCTCTAAAAAGTTCCAAACTTTCCATCTTCCTGTCTTTTTCTGAGCCCTCCAAACTTCCAGCCTCTACCTGTTACCAAGTCCCAAAGTTGGTTCCACATTTTCAGGTATCTTTTAGCAATGCCCTACTCTCAGTACCAATTTTCTACGTTAGGCCATTCTTTCATTGCTGTGAAGAAATACCTGAGTCTGGATAATTTATAAAGAAAAAAGGTTTAATTGGCTTAGGGTTCCACAGGCTGTACAAGCATGACACCAGCATCTGTTTAGCTTCTGGGGAGGTCTCATAGAGCTTTTACTTATGGTGGGAAATGAAGTGGGAGCAGGCACATCACATGACCACAGCAGGATCAAGAGAGAGAAAATGTTGGGAGGAGGTGCCACACACTTTTAAATGATCAGATCTTGCAAGAACTCACTATCTCAAAGACAGCACCAAACCATGAGGGATCTGCCCCCATAACAAAAACACCTCCCATCAGGCCCCACCTCCAGCACTGAGTATTACAATCATTCAACATGAGACTTGGGTGGAGACAAATAACCAAACTATATCTCCTGTCTTGGGTTATTTCTGGATGGTGGCATGGAGGGAGGAGGCAGGGGAGGCCTGGTGGCAAGAGAGTAGTCACCTTGTGAGAACTGGCCTGAGCCAGTGGATTGAGATAGGCTAATAGACACAATCCTCTGTGGTCAGACCCATCACCCCTCCCGTGCTCAGGACTGGATAATGGAGCCAGGGACCATATGCTGGCCCTGGAAGGACCCCAAGAGACACAAAGACCAACTCCATCCTTTAACAGAGTCAGCCTTTGATGCCAGAGCTTGGAAGAGAACTGATCAAGTTAGAGGCAGAGCCAAGAGGCTGTGCCTGGTGGGCTCATAATCATGGTCTGCTGGACAAACAGGTCACATTGGCTTCAAATGCCAAGGTAAAGTTTCAAGATTCTGCGGCTTAAAACAGGCAAGACACGCCAAGCATAGGGTCTCATGTCTGTATTCTCAGCACTTTGGGAGGCTGGGGTAGGAAGATCCCTTGAGCCTAGGAATTTGAGACAGCCTGGGCAACATAGTGAGATCCTCGTCTCTACAAGAAAAAAAATTTAAAAATTAGCCAGTTGTGGTTTTATGCACCTGTAGTCCCAGCTACTTGGGAGGCTGAGGCTGGAGGATAGCTTGAGCCTCGAAGTTCAAGTTTATAGTGAGCCGTGATCATGCCACTGTGATCCAGTCTGGGTGACAGAGTGAGTCCCTGAAAAAAAAAAAAGAAGAAAGAATAAAGACAGAAAGAAAGAAAGAAAGAAAGCAAGCAAGCAAGCAAGCAAGCAAGCAAGCAAGCAAGCAAGCAAGCAAGCAAGCCAGCCTTATCTATATTAGAAGTCTGTATTGTGGGCACTTTGCTGGAGTGATTGCCTGGGAGGGAGCACAGGTGAGCTTGGAGGGTGCTGGAAATATTCAATTTCTTGTCCTGGGTGCTCAACACAAGGCTGTGGCAGTTTGTGAAAATTCATCAAGCTATAGGGATGATACATGTACACTGTACTTCAAACAAATATTTTTAAAAAAGAACTAAAATAAGAAAATCATGTGGCTTAGACACTGTTCGGCAGCCCCCTGGGGCGTAGAGGAGAGGGCGGTATGTTTCCAACACCCCCAGCTGTAACCATGGGATGGGGGAGTGTTCGAGGGCTGGCCACTGGCGCATATTGGCAGAGCAAACACACGGGCCTCCGAGCACACTGTCCCCTCTGTGTACACAGGATGTTAGGCCAGGCTCCACCGAGCTGCACTTCATGGCAACAAAGACAACAATGCTACCATCTCGTAATCGTCAATAGCATCGCCTCACTCAAGTCTTTGGTCCAATATTTGCAGAGCCAGGGGAGCCACGTCTACTTTGCAATATTGACTTAGATTCGTCACTTACCAGAAAAACCTGAGTGCCCAGGCCCGCCTGCTCATCCATCGTGGCCTTTGGGAGGTGCGTGGCCTTAGGCAGAATGTGTGGGGTCATGGAAAACCAGCCCCCTTCGTTTCATGGCTGTTGTCACTATTATCTTACCCGTGTACCCTGGAGTCAGGCTGTGGAGAGGGGTCATGAATCTCCAGACTGCTGATTAAGATTGCCCGATGTCCTCTGTAATCCAGTCTACAAGATTTGGAGAGAAGTGAGTTGGCAAAAATGAAGCATGGAGTTCACCTTTTTGAATGGAAGCTTTCAGGAAATGGCGATTATAAAGCATTTCTTCATGAAGAAAAGCTTTCTTTTTCATAAGGAAAGGACATTTCTTCTTCATAAATGGGTTAAACCTTATAAATGCCTAAGACGTTGGCTTCCAGTTCAGGGTTTCACTTTTCCCGATAATTTCTGAGTGAGACACTGTACCATTGACAAATACAAGAGACTGCTTTCCAGAAACTCATGTTGCCCAGGGAAGCAGCTCCCGCTTTGTGAGCTCCAGGGCCCCAGTGCCCGGCCATGACCTGTGACCTCCTCGCTCCCGGCCTGGCTGTCAGCTGGAGAATGTGAGGGGCCAGCCTGCATCAGCTGGACAGGGAGGGCCTGGACACACTGCCCGGAGGCTCTGCTTTCCACAAGGGGCTGACCCCTCACCTCAGGTGCTGTGTCCCGAGGGCAGCCTGGATGCCCAGTCAGGGGGCAAGAGCTTAGACACCCCTGCCCTGAGAGCATTTCTCTTTCTCCCATTTTTATCAGAAAGGCTCTGATGAGACTCCCTGCCCTGCCCTCTTTCTGCCTCCAGGGCCCACACATTCAGGGAGGCCTCCCATAACCATTAATTTAGCCAATTTCCTGGGCCGCACCATCCCCCGGGGACCCCACTTTGGTGGGCAGCAGCGGAACAAGACCCCCTGCTGTTTCCCTTCCCTTTTAATTACACGAGGACAAGCTTCCTTGGGCTGACTTTGGGAGGCAAGCCCCAGGCCAGCCTGGCTGCCCTCCACGAAACAATGCACACATGTTCCGGAGAATTCCCTCCTCGCCTAATCCGGGCTGGGAAGAAAAGGGCTTTTCTTCTTCTTGTCAAAGGGAGTCTTCGATGCTAAGATACCATTTTGTGTCTCAAGTCATGTCACGGGACTTCTGCCTCAGCCTCGCTGCCTGCTCTTTGGAAATGAAAGACACAGTCCTTGATTCACCTCAGGACAAGTGCCCCCACCCTGCCCTCCTCTGAAAATGAAAGGGGGTTGGGGGCCAAGGGAAGCGGGAAGAGCTCCCAACTCCCACTGTTTCTTTCTCATCCTGGCAACCTCGGCTTTCTGAACTATTTGCCCAAAGGATGAGTAGGGAGGGCTGAGCCTCACCTGCTGATCTCAAGGGTCATGAATATTCTTATAATCCCCTGGAAAAAAGGGCCCTTTCATTAGAGAAGCGGATTCAGTCCTGGCGGCCTTCGGTGTTCCCACCTCCTCCTGCCCACCGGCCTGGCCTCCACTCTGCGGTCCGGCTCCGCGGCCTCTGGGTCCCTGCTGGCTTTTCGGCTATTCGCATAGACTAGAAGAAGAACTGGATTTTCATAAGGCACTGCTATGCTGCTTTCCCTCACTAATCCATGTCCCTATGTCATAGAAGAGTTAAAAGAAATAACAAGAAAGAAGTTACAGACATGCAACCTGCCCCTTAGAAAGGGGCAGTTTCACACGAGGGAACTTGCTGAACTCCCTTCAGTACACACGAGGGAACTTGCTGACCGACTCACTGGTAGTTGCATGTTTAAGTTCACACTTTACTTCATTGGACAAAAGGATCTAAGGTCACTTTTGGAAATTCCCACAATAATGCAGATGAAGAAATCAAAGTTACATGAGGAAAAAAAGGGAGCAAGGTGAAATCAAGTCAAGGAAAAATTTAATACCATGAAATTAAGGACTGAATCTGCTTTTCTGATGAAAGGGTCCATCTTTCTAGGGGGTTATAAGACATATAATGTAAGGCTCCATATGAGAGCAAGGATAGGCTGATAATTTAGTTTTGGGCTTCCTAGCAGCCAAAGTAAAAGGAGAAAAATGGTCAATAGAAGGCAGGCACAAAGCATTTGCTCAGGGGTGGCGCAGTTCTTCCTGATGCTGGGTTCTCTATCAACCGTGGGTCCTGGAACAAAAACACTGGTGTGCCGCATTAACAATGTCATCATTAACATCCCTGCGCCAAAGGTAAGAGTTTCACTTAGCAATGCTAAATGAGTTGGACCTGAATCCTCTGCATCTTCTTAAGAAAAATACAGACCCACATGACAGCCTACGTTTTCTTCAGAATCTGTAAGTGCAGCTTATTGAGTTGGTGCCACACAGGCAACACCCTTAAGGGCCTCTCCTGAACAGACATGAATGCTCAGGACTTGGGCTGTGAACTGGACTGTTCACTCTTCCAGGCCCAAGCCCGTAGCACCAGCACCAGCAGAGCAGTTGGAGCAGCGGTGGCTCCACAGAGCAGAGCTGGGCCCTGACTGGAAGCAGAGGCCACTGAAATGTCTGCTAACCCTTTGCTTAGCAGAAAGAGTGGAGGAAACACCTCTGGAGAATAAATTGTACTTGTGTCAGCATAGGTGAGTAGACAGTGCAGGAGAGGGGCAAGATTCCATCAATATTTCTTTTTCTTTTTTTTTGTTTTTGAGATGGAGTCTTACTCCGTCACCCAGGCTGGAGTGCAGTTGTGCCATCTCAGCTCACTGCAACCTCCGTCTCCCTGGTTCAAGCGATTCTCCTGCCTCAGCCTCCTGAGTAGCTGGGAATACAGGCACCCGCCACCACGCCCGGCTAATTTTTGTATTTGTAGTAGAAATGGGGTTTCACCATGTTGGACCTTGGCCTCCCAAAGTGCTGGGATTACAGGCATAAGCCACCGCATCTGGCCAATTCCATCAATATTTCTGATGCCATTCTTGTTTTTGGTTTGGAAACAATTATTGATGGATCTTAATTTAAACCAACATAGTGTCATAATAATAGCTAATAGTTTTGGACACTCACCATGTGCCAGACACTTTGAAAGTGTTTAAAATATATTATCTAATTTTAACCCCAAAGCCCCGAGATAGAAAACACACACACTTGTGTGTGTGTGTGAAATGAGGAAATGAAGGCTTAGAGAAGAATTTGACACCGCACAGCTAGAAAACAGCAGTGCCAGGATTTTAACCCAGTACTGCGACCTGCAGGGCCCAGGGTCTTCACGAGCATAACATCCTGAGAAGAAAATCCTACTAGAAATCAGGAGGCCTGGAAGTGTTTGCTTCAGAGATCCAAACAAACTAGCTTTGTAAACTGTAACAAACTAGCTTTGCTATGTTCTCCTTCAGGGATTCATTTATGCCATGTTTTTGAACATGTATTGGGACTTCAAAATCCTTTATAGCCCCGACATTCAAATCAGCTTATTTATTCATTAGATCACAATGTATTGTGCCAGGACTGTGTTATGGGGAAATCAGGCGCAGTCAGTCTCTGATTTCTTAGAATCTACAATCTAAATGGGAAGATGGACACCGTGTAAGTAACTGGGAATGTCACATGCACAAAGAGGGCCAAGTTTAGGGTGCTACAGGAGAATATCAAAAACTTAGATTAGTCTGAGTTGGGAGCTAGGTCAGGGAAGGGCTCCCAGAGGAGGTGATATTTCAGCAGAGCCCTAAGGATAAGTAGCAGTTGGCTAGGCAGATGGGAGTTCGGGGTTGAGAAGAGGACGTACAAAAGCCCAGGGTAGCATAGAGTGTATTTATAGACCCGAAAGCTCAAGTGTCTGAAGCACAGGGAAAAAGGAGGCTGGAGAAGGCAGGGGCAGATCTCACTGGGCCCTGAAAACCCTTGATGACTCTGAACATTATCAGGACAGTGCCAATCCATACCATGGCTTTAAGCAGAAGAATAACAATCATCTAGGATCTGGCTATAATACAGAGGCTAAGCCAGAGGAAAGCAAGAGAGCAAATGAGTCAGGAGGCCCTGCAGATTATGACTAGGGCCAAGATGGTGACAGTGTGGACGGAAAGGCATGGATGGATTTGAGATGCTTGGGTGTCTAATTAATAGGCCATGGTGGAGATTTGATGTGGACATGGGGTTGGGGGAAGAGTCAAGGGTGACCCCTAGTTTTTGGTTTGAGCAAAAAGGTAAATGATGTAAATGATATTCCCATTTAGTGAAACAGAGCAGAGTGAAGTGAGTACAGGTGGGCAAGAATTATAATGACTTTAGCTATAAGGTATCTTTGAAAAGTACAAGTGATAATGTTGAATAGGCATCGGGAAGCACTGGCGATTAAATGAGAGTTGAGGCTATGGGAGTGGATAAAATCTAGGAAGAGAATATCGGTTGGAAGAGCACCAGAACAGAGCACTGAGGAGGAAGAACAGCCAGGAAGGTAGGAGGAAGAACAGCCAGGAAGGTAGGAGGAAAATCAGAAGTGTGTGCTGTAATGGAAGCCAAGAGAAGCAAGTACTTCAAAGATGAAGTGGTCAACGCTACAGAATATAGTAATGGGTGAAGTGAGATATGGCCTGAAAACTATCCGATGAATGTAATGACATGGACACCACCATGTCCTTAGGGAGAACAGGTCCGGTGGAGTCGTACAGCTGATTTGGACATGCAACCAATATACCAGGTATCACTGCCATTTGCTGGCCTGGCTTCTGGCACTTGCCATTGACATAAAATATATCCCGATTTCAGGTAAAGAAGCCAACAGGTAATTTTCATGGATGGTGCAGAGCTTCAGATATTTTAAACAAAGGGTCTGATCCTATAGCTAAGCCTCATAGTACAAAGCAGTGATTGACAAATGTTTAATGTCTTGAGAATTATTGAGTACCCCAGGAGTTTTTGTGTAGGTTATGTCTGTTGATATTTATTATATTAGAAATTAGAACTGGCTGGGTGCAGTGGCTCATGCCTGTAACCCCAGCACTTTGGGAGGCAGGGGCGGGTGGATCACTTGAGGTCAGGAGTTCGGGAACAGCCTGGCCAACATGGTGAAACCCCATCTCTACTAAAAATACAAAAGTTAGCCGGGTGTGGTGGCATGCGCCTGTAGTCCCAGCTACTGGGGAGGCTGAGGCAGGAGAATCACTTGAACCTGGGAGGTGGAGATTGCAGTGAGCCAAGATCATGCCCCTGCACTCCAGCCTGGGTGGGTGACAAGAGTGAAACTCTGTCTCAAAAAAAAAAAAAAAAGAAAAAAAAAGAAAAAGAAAAAAGAAATTATAACTGAGAAATATTACTCAATTTATTTAAAAAATAAAACAATTACATGTTAACATAAATAACATTTCTGATGAAAAACAAATATAGCAACAAGAGTAGTACCATCTTTCATTTTTGCAATTCTTTTTAATGTCTGGCTTGATAGCAGATAACCGGATTATCTTACCTGCTTCTGCATTCAATCTATTGTGATATGCTGTTTTGGCTGACACAGATATAGAAAACCTGGCCTCACACAGTTACGGAATTGAAAAAGAGAAGAATGTAAGAGCCATTTCAGGTAATTGTGAGTCTTCTCTGATACTGCACCCACACTTAAAAAAGGTTAGTTGTAATGTGGCATCCGAAACCATATCAATGAACTTCTCCATATTCTGTGACCTAAACTCCTCTGGTCCAGCTCCCATTTTGTAGGCATCTTTACCCATGCCTGATTTGTTACCACAACGCATTAACCATTCGAGAAATACCAGTTCCCACGGTTATGCAGATCCTCCAACTGTTGACACTTCGCACTTTACAATATCCAAAAATCACATCCACTAATATCATTATCTCATCAGAAATACATACACTGAAAAGCTGTCAAGCTCAATGACAAGCTCAATATAAGTTTTTCAAAATGTTCATTTTTGCTTAGATGTGTAATTTGTATCATTGGCAATAAATGCACAGAAGTGGTTTTCCTTGAAGTGGCTGGCTCACTCCGCTTAGTTTGAGAAAATGGCTGCCAGGTGACCAAGTCTGACTTATGTAGTTTGTCAGTGATTCTTTTAAGCAAAATGGTGTTCCTTGAAAAAAAAGTGGTAATTTACGTCACCAATTAAACAATTATACAAGTACTTTTCCTCAAGATCACCAATATCCTTTATATGCACATGTTTTCTGTGTACCAGGCTTCTGTGTTTTTTTTGGAAAAAAGGGGAGTGCACGGCAGTGAAGATGACATAGTGCCTGTTAGGACCGGCAGTGCCGTTGCCTTGATTCATGCCGAGGCTCCAGTGTGGTGTGCTGTGGTTTTTCTACAACCAGTGAATGTCAGCACAGTGAAAAGGGCAAATATTAGTATTATTATCAAAATCATGGTGACCTTGTGGACCATGGAAATAATCTTCAGGACCCCCAGGGACCCAAAGACCACACTCTACCAACTGCTGGTGCAGAGTAAGCACTGGCATCTAAGAAGGCAATTTCCTCATGGAGAAACTCTCCAGATGCCAAAAAAGGCAAAGATTTTCCCCTGGAAGTGTTTTATATCTTTAGTAAAGCTCTGTAATAAATACTTCAGAAGTTTAGTGCCAGAATCAAACTATTTAATTAAATGTTTAAAATAATACAATAATCAGTTCGATTTATTCCATCACAACGAATATCTTATTTAC